>NC_000013.11:93828736-94131766 GCF_000001405.40 Homo sapiens
AGGAGGTAAACAAATGAAAAGTACTTTCATTGCTGCTTTGGTCTGATTTGAAAACAAATATAAAACATTTATCATTATTATAGACACCATTTAATTATCAAGACAATGGTTTGATTGTATATTAATCAGAACTGAAGTGGCTAAACCAAGCACTTCTTCAGCCAACTTCTAAGAATGCACAAGTAGCTTCCATGGAATTAATGGAGAGGTGTTCGTCACTATTTCCTTTCTGTATCTTAGCAGAGAATACCCAGAACCCCAGAAAGGAGAAGAGTCCTTTTAAAAAATTCCTGGAGCTTTTGAAATATGCAGGACTTGATTTGTCCCTGCATTTCTGAGAAGGGGCATAGTTTCAGGCAATAAACGGGGACTATGAAGAGGTAAAGCAGAATCATTTTACTCTTGGGAACTTAGATTGATAACCTCAGAAGCATTATCTTTCCTTAGCTCTTTCCCTACCCCAATTTATAATCTCTAAATGAGATAAAACTTGAACTTGCTCTACCCAAGCTTATTTGTGCAAAAGGATAGGTGCCCTACACACACAAAGTGTGTCTTGAGGGAGACTAGCATGAGGGCCAGTGAGGCTAATGATACCCAATGGCTTTAATTTTTGTCTTATTTTTTTGCATCCTATAAGGGATCCCAGTAACACTCAAGCGCTGTTGCAAAGTGGAAGATTTGAATTATTGGTGTGCACTTTTTCATTTAGAACCTCATAACCAGAAAGTCCAATTGTCAATATTTTATTCAAGTTCTATAACATGATGGTTTATATTTGTAATGATAATCCAAGATACTTTAAGGCTTTCTGACTCATTATGGCCACCTAAATTATGCTCATTATAGCTTTATTATGAAGTGAATTTAATTGCATTATGAATATCTGAACATTGCTAATTGATTGCTATATATAGAAACTAGAAAGAGTCTAAAATATGACATTAATTTGAACATCTCATTTATGGACTATTTCAAATAAAAGCAATTTAATGGAATTTAGTGTTAGGACAAATTTATAAATAAACTGAAGCAAATGTGTTTATCATTATGTAAACAACAATACTCTGCACGTTATATTTGCAATATATTTTGATTTGAGTTTGTATCAAACCATAGGATTATTTAAAATTTAACAAGAAATGATTAAAGAATTGAGCTATTTTGGAGGAGGATTACATGGTAGACTCCTAATGTTAATGGAAATCATGGGGTATTCTGTTTTGAGTTGTACAAGGTCATAGATGTAGGTCAAATCCCATTTAAAATATGTTTTTTATCTGTCCATTAACACCTTAATCACAGGATATGTTTTTCCATGAAAATGTCAATTAAAAGCAGTTGTACTTAAGGTAAGTGGGTGCCTTGGGCTTTCTAGATTTCATTAATTTATGACTTCTTTCTGTTTTATCTGCAGAATTTTTCCGAGAGCTCCTGGAGAATGCAGAAAAGTCACTAAATGATATGTTTGTACGGACCTATGGCATGCTGTACATGCAGAATTCAGAAGTCTTCCAGGACCTCTTCACAGAGCTGAAAAGGTACTACACTGGGGGTAATGTGAATCTGGAGGAAATGCTCAATGACTTTTGGGCTCGGCTCCTGGAACGGATGTTTCAGCTGATAAACCCTCAGTATCACTTCAGTGAAGACTACCTGGAATGTGTGAGCAAATACACTGACCAGCTCAAGCCATTTGGAGACGTGCCCCGGAAACTGAAGATTCAGGTTACCCGCGCCTTCATTGCTGCCAGGACCTTTGTCCAGGGGCTGACTGTGGGCAGAGAAGTTGCAAACCGAGTTTCCAAGGTAATTGAAAACGTGCTTTCTTTCTCATTGGTGTTCCTTGTTTATTCTGTTTTTAAAACCAATGTTTAAAAAAAAAAAAAAAAAAAAAAAAAACCAAGGTAAAAATTCTTAATTGGTGGTCCTTGCTCTTAATCAGTTAAATATCAAAGCATAATTCTGGCTTTCTTTTCCTTGCATTGTGTGAGAGAGAACAGGATTTTAAGCCATTCTATGTGGTTTGAAAATTAATGTTAATACTTATCAGCAGTATAGCAGAGAAGCTTTTAGTACCAATGGTGCAAAAGCAGGCACGTTGCAACTATGATCATTTGATATTTCTGATCAGGGTTTTAAGGATGATAAATACTCATGAAAGAATCCATTCAGAGGTTATAATCCTCTAGGGAGTCAAGATGACAGTCTTCATGGACCTGCGAATGGAGACAAGTTATTGTTCAGGACATCAGCACCTGGCATTTCTTCTTTTTCAACACATGTCAATGTGGCCAAATTCCTTCATGGTAAAAGAAGAGCCCTTTGCTGACACCTGTATTACTGGATTAGGAAGGACTAATGAGTACCAAGTATAGATTCTCCTAGAGAATTTCTTTTGTTACCCCTTATCTTTGTAATTTCATACCATGCATTGCCTTGGGCTTATGAATAAGATCAATCATTAATCTACTTTTGGGCCTTTCTTGAAGATAACATCTCTATACCTTGGATATAAGGGATAATTCTACATTCCACTACTTAAACATTGAATATTTCCTGTGTAGAGGATATCTGCTTTTGTTTAAGTTCTTTCTTGACATTTAAGGCACTTGTGAGGTCAGTCCTCCAAATAAAATGAAAGACAATTACTTAAAGAAGTAAAGTTAAAAATAATACGTAACAGGAATCTGGTATTATGTCACTCCAAGAAGGTGTATTTGTATAAGGATTATTCCCAAACACTACTTTTCTATTGGAGGGCTGTGCCAAAGAGCCACAGTATTTTTCATAACTATTGGTACTGTCCTACAATGCTTCTTTTTTTTTTTTTGACACTTTGGTCTCCTCAATATTTACATCCTAGCATAAAGATGGTGTGTACCCTTACAAATGTTTCTCTATTGCACTGTCAGTAAAATCCGTAATAGCCCATTTTAAATTGTTAATTTCCTAAACGTTTATTTGAGCATACAGAAAGATTATTTCTAGGAAGGCGCTGAAGGAAATAATTACAAGGGCTTATTTATCAATATAAAGGGCATATGATTCTAATGTTTAAAATAATATCTTTGCCGGGCGCGGTGGCTCACATCTGTAATCCCAGCACTTTGGGAGGTTGAGGCGGGCAGATCTCGAGGGCAGGAGATCGAGACCATCCTGGCTAACATGGTGAAACCCCATCTCTACTAAAAATACAAAAAAATAGCCAGGCGTGGTGGTGGGCGCCTGTAGTCCCAGCTACTCTGGAGGCTGAGGCAGGAGAATGGCATGAACCTGGGAGGCGGGGCTTGCAGTGAGCTGAGATCGAGCCTCTGCACTCCAGCCTGGGTGACAGAGCAAGACTCCAACTCAAAAAAAAAAAAAAAAAAAAAAAAAAAAAAAAAATATATATATATATATATATATAATGTCCTTACATTGAATCTCAACAATGTTTTAGATACCAAAGAAACTAGAGCCCCAGAAATGCATTTATAAGGAATTAGCTAGGTAGAATAGCAAGAGGAAATATCATCACCTGAGGACTGTCAGTAAAATATGAATAAGTGTAGAAAATAAATATGCATTCCATATTTTCTTGAGTAGATGCATTTTGTTGTAAAATAAGTGTAAATTAATTTAATAAGTTAAACTCAATAATAGGATTAGTCACAGAGGCTGCAAGCTGAAGCTTTTGATTTTGTTGAAGGATAAACATGTAGCCAGCCTTTGAGAAATATGAATTAAGAAATTCAAAGTATGGATGGATATATGCCTGATTATGTGTATTTATTCTAATTGAGTGTTAATAATGTTTAGATGTGTGTATTATGATCTGGCAAGTTTCCGGTGAGATAACAGAATATTTTCTAGCAAAGTGTCTACAAAGCCATGAGGGAGGCTGCTGCTGGCTATCCCTCCTGTTTTTCAGTGAGTGTCATTCACAACTGCCTAGAGATGGTGTCTCCCCTTGGTCACTCTCTGACTGCCTCAACTGAGGTCTTTGTTGACCAAAGTCTAACACGCTATTCCTTCTGGCGAAGGATGACCTCATGAGCCAACCATCAGTAGAGTATGACCTTTTTCTCTAGAAGTGGTGAGAAATGTATTTTCCAACACTGTATTCTCTCTCCCACTGATCCCTTCAAGACCACCATTCTTTTGCAGAACAATTGCTGTGGGCATGGAATATAGTCCGTAGGTCATTTAACCTTGGAAAGTTAACTGTTCCTTGCAGATATTGGCTTGTTTGACCTGAGTTTCATCATCATCCCTAATCAGTTAAAATTATAAGCCCCATCCTGACATTTGGGCACTGCCTTTTGGAGATGGGTAGAGAGATAGATGGATGGATGGATGGATGGATGGATGGGTAGATAGGTAGATGATAGAGAGAGAGAGAGAGAGAGAGAGAGAGAGAGAGAGAGAGAGAGAGAGAGATGGTATATATATATATAGCCTTGGTTTGAAAGAAGCTGAGCAATGCTTTTGTGAATAATTTGTCTCAGGAATTTAAGTATTTTACCAATGAACTTCCTCACCTAATGATTACAAGATGGTCTAGAGCCGACTAAACTAGCAATTTGTGATCTACTGGTACTATGATGATTTTCAACACCCAAGGTATTTTTGTAATAAGAATAAAATATCACAAAGACTAAATACATTAAGAAGAGAAGCAAGAATTGTGTTTGAGGTTTAAGCCCTTCATAAACCTGAAGCCTCTTTATGGTCTATTAATTGAGTGATTTAGAGTTGGAGAAATGATGACAGAAGAGTTAGAAAACTCAAAGCAAAATTCCCAAATGGAGATGAACAAACTAGCTTATCTCCTGCATCCTGATTTGAGTGATTTTTTTTTTTCTCTTCAGTTTCTCTCTACATTTATGGTGACTTTTTAATCTTGAAAGACATCATGAATATCTTCTAATTAATTGCTTTGACTGGAAAATTTACCTCTTTGGCAGAACACAGCAGTTTGACACAAATGTTTTGACATAATGTTCAGAACATTATTGGGAAATTTCTTACCAGAAAAATGGAGGTCTAAATTGTAAGCATCAACAGAATTATTTTTAAAACTTCTGCTTGCCATCTTATGGATACAAACAGTCTTTTTCTAGCCTTCAGATGGGGCCAGTTTATTTTAAGTAACTATAACTCTAGGTCTGACTCTTAGAAGCACCATGTGACTCTTAGAAGCACTATGTGATTCTTAGTGAATATCTATGGTCAGCCAGCCAGGATTCATTTTCTGTGTGAATGACCATTTTGAGCATGTCAAGTGTTGATGAGAGGTGGAATATCAGGAACCTCCATGCATTGCTGGTGGAATTATCAATTTATATGCTCACTTTAGATAATAATCTGAAAATACCTGTATTGTTGAAGATGTACCTATTCTAAAACTTCAATTTCATCCGGATAAACTGTTACATGTGCATACAATTAGACGTGTAGAAGAGTGTTTGTAGCAGGATCTTTTACAATGACATAGAAAGTAGAAACGTCACAAATGGCCCATCTGCCTAAATGGTTATCTCTTCACATCATGAAATTTTCCAGAGCATAGAAAGTGCTCATGAATGAGTTACAGAAACCTCATTGTGAGAGATAAACATCAAGTCATCTAAAATACATACATTTTTATGAAGTTCAAAAATGTAAAACTAAGCAATACATTGTTTAGGAATAAAATATATGTAGTAAAACTCCAAAGAAATTTCAAAGAATGATAAAAAGAATCAGATGGTGGTTACCTCTGGAGATGCAGTTTGGAGGTAAGATGAAGGAGGGATACATAGAGATATCTAAAGTTATCAATAACATACTATTTCTTAAGCCAGGTGCTTGAGGAGTGTGTGTGTGTGTGTGCATGCATGTATGTGCAAGCATGTATACATGAATGTATTGTGTAAAGCTTTTTTAATGAAATAAATTAAGATGTAGAAAGATTTTACCATTTTCCATCTCTGTTTCTACCTGTGTAACTACAATTGAGTCCCTGAGCTACCCTCAGTTGTTTGTAGTACTAACTACTGTTCATGGACCTGCTAGCAAGTCAGTTTCCATGTTCCATATTGTGCTAAGTGATGTCAGAAAGGCATGGAAGGAAGAGCTCTAAAATGAAGAAAAAAATAAATTTTGATAATGTGGGCACCTTGACAGAATGGATTCAGACTATTTTTTAGCACTGTCCCTTTATTAAAATACCACCGTCATTCCCTTATCTTCCACCACTAGTGAGTGGAAACATGGATACCAGCCGTCACTCTGAAGGCTTGTCAGACATTGTGAGGAAGAGAGAGGGCTTCATAAAGAGATATTAACAGATTGTCTGCTTAAACCAGTCTTTATTAATTATAAAGGCAAATGTGGAAATGACTATAGTGTCTTCACTAGTCCATCTTGATGCCATTTACACTAAGAAGACATGACTTTAAAGTGACTTCTGGCATGGCATGGTGTCTCATACTTGTAATTCTAGCACTTGAGGAGGCCGAGGCAGGTAGACAGCTTGAGCTCAAGAGTTCAAGACCCAGCCTAGGCAACATGGTAAAATCCTATCTCTACAAAAAATACAAAAATTAGCCAGTCATGGTGGCATGCACCTGTAGTTCCAGCTATTTGAGAGGCTGCAGTGGGAGAGTGGCTTGAGCCCAGGAGGTGGAGGTCGTAGTGAGCCGAGATCGTGCCACTGCACTTCAGCCTGGGCAACAGAGCCAGACCCTGTCTCAAAAAAACGTGACTTCTGGCCAGGCGCAGGGCTCACACCTGTAATTTGAGCACTTTGGGAGGCCGAGACAGGCAGATTACCTGAGGTCAGGAGTTTGAGACCAGCCTGACCAACATGGAGAAACCCTGTCTCTACTAAAAATACAAAATTAGCCGGGTGTGGTGGCACATGCCTGTAATCCCAGCTACTTGGGAGGCTGAAGCAGGAGAATCGCTTGAACCCGGGAGGCAGAGGTTGCAGTGAGCCAAGATCACGCCATTGCACTCCAACCTGGCCAACAAGAGCAAAACTCCTTCTAAATAAATAAATAAATAAATAAATTTAAAAATTTTTAAGAAGTGACCTCTATGAGTAAACGCTGTAAATTGTGTCAAGAGCAATCATTTCAACTTTGCAAGTCATCTCATTGATTTATTACAGACAAATGGGGGAGGTAGTAGAGCTGGGATCCATATAACTTGAACTATTGACAAATACTGTCAACTATCTCTCTATCCATCTCTCTATCAAAAATCTTTCTTCCTGTGGCTCATGACTTTGAAAAGAAAGTCTGACTTTTAGTCTTTAGTAAAACCGGAATATTTTCATCAACAGACACCCACCTACGTCTGCTACATAGACTGATGTTTTTGCTCGAAGAGCCTCTTAAGTGGTTCATTCCCAACTAAACAGCTTTGCATTAATGTGTGCCTAGAAAGCAACAGACAAAGTCAACTTTCAATAAATGTGGTTGATGCACTATAAGGAAAAATGTTATTACCAAATTTAATGAAATAGAGGTTATCAAATGCCTCTGTTTAAAGTATTCTCTGATCACAATGGAAAACCATTCTGAAGAATTTACCATGGATTCAATTTACAAGAGAAATTGTATTCTATTTAGCGTTTGCTTTTGAGAAAGAATTGAGAATACAAAGATCACCTGTTGTCATTATCACCTGAGTTACTTGTTTTGTCCTTCTGTGGTGGTTTTTGGATTGGAGTTAATTTTTGGGAGGGCATTCCAGAAATGAACACAATCACAAAAAGGCCTTAGGTGAATGAAAGTTTTTTTATAGTTCATTTGTGATTAGTGTATTCATTTCTGTAACTGATAATTTTTCTATGTAGATTACTTCAATAATATACAGTGTTATGAATAATTGGCAAGCCTTTTGAAATTATCAATGATGTTTCTATGCTTACAACTTTTAAATCAGCATAATCTGTGACTGCTGTCTTATGATGGTATTTCGAGTATTATATTATATTTAGAAAGTACTTTGCACTTGATAAATAATTTCATAATAAAAATAGTAAGAAATTGATATTGGGACTAGGAACCATAATAACAAAAATAGATTATTAAGATAAATCATTAAAAATGCAAGAATCTTACCATGGTTCAGATACTGTGCTAAGCACTAGAAATTACAAGAGTATAAGAAAGTCCAGGTGTCAGTAGAAGAAAAGAACATTTTCCCCTCTAGAACAGCATATGGAATGTATCACAGTTGAGTCTCCAGCAGTAAGAAAGTTTCACTTTGATTAAAACAATTTGATTATATTGATTGAAACAATTTAAGTTTTTCTCATTAATTTTAAGTAATCTTGCAAAATGTATAGCCTAGGTATGTAAATATGGAAGATTGTTAAGAAGAGAGTATAAACCAAGGAAAATGAAGCTATCTATTTCCAATGAATTAAAGGCTATTTGTGTAATCTTGTTCTTTTGTAGCTTGTGTATGTTTCCAGTAACCTATGTCTGAGTTATATTACTTCATGGTAAAATTATACTATGTATAGGAAGTCAGTTAAAACAACCACCTGTCTCTCCACTGAATCTGATTTTGAAGTTTTATTCATATTGAAAGAAGTTAGGGATTCCATAACCCTATCTAAATGTACCATGGCTAGAAAAACTTGTTTGGAACCACAGTCCTAATAACTGTATTGTACCTATCGAATATAAACTTCTGTCTTCTACAATCTGAGATAGGTGGTTATGATAATCCAACCTTCATCTGACCCAAATGTTAACTCTTGTAAAAACAGAGCCACTATAGAGATTTAGCTCAGTCCTGATCAGTAAACATTTGTTCTTTGTATTTTGTATGTCAAGTACTGTCGGTTAACTTCCTGAGACATGAAGACTAAGCAGGTTACAGCATTTACAAGTAATAATTAGGAAGAGTGAAACAGAAGCAAATAATGTCAATATATAATGAATACATATTCATTTATGTATATGAACATTATTTATGTAATGAACATTTATTATGCAATAAATGCTTTGGGAACTGAGAGGAGAGGCACCTAGCTTAATTTGGTAGGAGGAGTCACAAGTAAACTTTCCTTGAACCATGTGTTAAAGGTTGCATAGGTGTTGGGCAGGTGATGAGGGCACCTAGCACAGTGAAGGACATTTTAGGCAGAGGCAGTAACAGAGCAGAAGTGCAGAGGTGTGAAACTGAATGATGTGTGCAGGGAGCTACAAGCATGTTATCCTTGAGCCATAAAGTACAAAGCAATGATTTGCAGGAGACAAGGATAGAGACCTTAACTGAACCCTTGAATGAAAACCATCTATTTCACTAATGGTTTTGTTTGTCTATTCTGCCTGCATAATTTAAAACAGTTTCTGTGGATAGAAGCATTCCAGTACTTTCAAGAGACAGACATGGGCTGAGCACCTACTATGTGCCAGGCACTTCTCTATAAGAAACAGAGGGAAAAACAATGAATGGCATTGTCCTTGAGGGATTCACAGTCTATCACGAAGAGAGACATTATGAAAAGTCCAAGTGTAGTGTAATTAATCAGGGTGACAGACGTATGGATAAAATACTATATGAACCAATGGAAATACATGTTTCCCTTTACCTTGGGAAACGGGAGCAGACATCTTAGAGTAGGGAATCATCAGATGTGGACTTAAAGAATGAATAGCATCTCACAGAGGGAAAAAAGAGGTATGGCTTTCTTGCCAAGGGCCCAGCATGTGCAAAGGCATAAATCATGAAATGTTATGGTTGTTTGGAAATGAGGCCGGGAAGTAGATTTGAACCATATCATTTGGGCATATTATTTTTAAGTTAAGGAATTTGAAGAGCATCACGTGAGCTGTGGACCACCAGCTAAGATTTTTTAAAAGACAAATATATAATTGGTTATTTTTTCACTTAAGAAAGATGGGCAGGGAGCTGATAAACTGGCTGAAAGGAGACACACTGATGGCAGGTGCTGGGATGGGAAGCTGTTGCAATTAACCAGACAAGGGGTGATGAGACCTGAGTCAAAGCAGCATGGAGCAGATTGGGGAGCACATCTGGAAAGACCGCAGAGACCCTCCAGCTCAACAGCCACGATGCATAGTTTAGGGCCCTGTCCCCAGAGTCAGGGATGGAACTGTTTGGGAACAGTTGTCTGCCTGCTGACTGATTTGAATATCACCAACATATAAATGTTTGTTGGCAAAGGATAGCAACATTTATCTAGAGAAAGAAGAATCAGGATCAGATGAAATGTCAGAGACTGTGCACATTTAAAGAGAGTTCTGAAAACAAAGACAAATGATGAGAACCAGCAAAGCACGCCCTCCTGAAAGTAAAGAGAGAGAGAATTCAAGAAATAGACTAATCAATAGCATCAACTGTGGCAGATAGTTAAGTGGAAAGGGCAGAGAAAACAGACCTTAGGATGTGGCCATTAGGATGTTAATGACTTTAGCAAGCGCAGGTTGACTTGAGTGGTTTAATTGGTTGGGAAGTTAACTTATCTTCCCCTACACATTCTAGAACAAGGTGTGCAAAGCTTGGTTCGTGGACTGCTGCATGTTCATAAATAGGCTGTTACTGTTTTGCCACAAGATACACACCAAAATTGAAAGTTAAAAAAAAATCTTTACATCAATTTCACATTGCTCTGACACCATCAATGGGACTTTTCCTGGGATGTTGAATTTGCATGGTGAGGCTCCTATGTGTGAGCGGCATATTAGTTGTACTCAATAGGATCAGGTATCAGGTCATGATATATTGGTTTTTAATTCTGTTTATGTGGCGTATCACATTTATTCTGTTTATGTGGTGTATCACATTTATTCTGAATGTAAACTGTGGCTTATCACCGTTTACACTGCTGTGTAAACTTTGCACAGCAGTCACATCGTCATCACTTACACATGTACAAGTGAGGAGGGTAGGCAAGGTATGTGATACCATGGGCCCAACTTGAAAGTTTGGAGGATTTCTCTTTTATTGTCCCGTCTTCAGAGATTCAATGTTATGAGGATGTTCCCTGGTGCAATATCAGCGCACTATAGAGGTTTCTGAGCCAAGATCTTGCATATGTTAAACCATCCCTGCATCCTTGATATGAAACCCACTTGAGCATGGTGGGTTATTTTTTTGATATGTTGTTGGATTCGGTTAGCTAGTATTTAGTTAAGGATTTTAGCATCTATATTCATCGAGGATATCAGTCCGTAGTTTTCTTTTTGGGTTGTGTCCTTTCCTGGTTTTGGTATTAGGGTGATGCTGGCTTCATAGAATGAATTAGGGAGGGTTCCTTCTTTCTCTATCTTGTGGAATAGTGTCAAAAGGATTGGTGCCAATTCTTCTTTGATATCTGGTAGAATTCTGCTATGAATCTGTCTGGTCCTGTACTTTTTTTGTGGGTAATTTTAAAATTACCATTTCAATCTCACTGCTTGTTATTGAAGCTGGTTCTTTGAAAAGATAAATAAAATTGATAGAGTATTAGCAAGATTGACCAAGCAAAGAAGAAAGAAAATCCAAATAACCACACTAAGAAATGAAACAGGAGATGTTACAACTGACACCACTGAAACACAAAAGATCATTCGAGGCTACTGTGAACACATTTACGCACATAAACTAGAAAACCTAGAAGAGATGGATAAATTCCTGGAAAATACAACCCTGTTAGCTTAAATCAGGAAGAATTAGATACCCTGAACAGGTTGTGATATATTGGGAAAAATCAATCAACCAAAGATTGTTCAGATAATTTGAACCCCAAACAGATAATTTGAAATGTACTATTCTAGAATAATGCTAAAAACAGGAAAATAATGAACATATTTTGATTGATTTTGTTGATATGTTGGGTTTACCTTTCCTGTGTTCAGCTCCTCTTTACCTATTTTTGTACCTTCCTACCCTAGCAGTTTTTCCCAGGGGTATATTCTGGGTATGTACAACCATGATGAGCTTTCAGAAAACTCATTATGATTGGCATGTCTACTGTTTGCCTATCCCCCTCAAATACAAGAACTTCCCTGGGACCGTGGAAAATGTGTGCAACAAACAGATGAGACGTCTTTGTTACTAATAGGGAACATCCACGGGTGAAATATGCCAATTAAAGTACAGCACAAATAAAAAAGACCCAAGGATAAAACACTAGTGCTATAACTCAGAGAATGCTGCTTGTAAAACAGCTTTATGAAGAAAAATGAACCTGACGTTTATCCCAGTCTCAATGCTGCCCATTTTTGGACATTTATTTCTGAATGCAATTATGCTCTTCCTATGAGAGGGTTCTGTGAAACAAGGTTTGCACAGCAGGCACACTGTAATCACTTACACATGTACGAGTGAGGAGGGTAGGCAAGGTGTGTGATACCATGGGCCCAACTTGAAAGTTTGGAGGATTTCTATTTTATTGTCCCATCTTCAGAGATTCAATGTTACAAGGACATTCCCTGGTGCAATATCAGCGCACTATAGAGGTTTATGAGCCAAGATACACATCAAAAATAATTTTAATAAAGCTTGACAGATATATTGCCTTAATAGTGCTGACATAGTGAAGCGGGACTTATATAGGGAATACGACATCCTAACATTTTTAAAAATGAGATATTAGGTCACACAGATATTTGTAAGAAAGAGGGGGGTATGTTATTACATTTTGTAGATTTCCTCCATTGTTATCTTTGTCATTGCAAGCAAGGGTTATTCCTTTGCATCTATTTGCATTATACCTCTTCATCCTGATGAGTGATATTCAGCACAAACACAATGGGTCAATCTCAGATACTTAGAATATAGTAATCATACCAAACAATGTTGAAACTCTACATTTTTTGTGTCTAAATCAAATAACCAAGAGTGAAAATGGACAGTTCAGAGTGTCAGTAATAGGATAACGGTGACTCTAACATTCAGACGTAAGTAAAACTATAGCCGAAATCAGTAGATACTGCCAAGTTAACATCAAATGACCCTTAAGTGGCTTGCATACACAGAATTTTTTAATTCATTTTTGCCCTTGCAGGAACATGCTGCATGTCAGAAATGCCACTGTCATATTTAATACTGAACAGAGAGCAGTGGATTTTATATGGAAATTTTAACCTTTTCAGATTGTAGTGTCTGAAGAAGTGAGGAAGATCAACTTTTCTATGTTAATTTTGTATAGAATTTTGGCAATCAAAAAGTACATTCACTGAATATTTTAAACTTTCATAAATACATTAATTACGGAAACATTATGCATACTATTTTTATAGTAGGTACAAATACAAGTCTTTTCATAGAGAAATATATTCATTTATAAATAATGGGTTTTAAAATTTTCATTTGCTCTCAGCTTTCTAAAAACACGTTCTGTTACTAAAAATGTATCAAGACATAAGGAAATACTTATTTCATTGTTTTTAATGAAAATGGACAACATTTAGTAAGAAGTACACAATTTTATAACGCTTTAAAAATTAGCAGAGAACCAAGCACTTTGCAGAAGTCTTTGTTCTTTTCATCTTAGAATTTTGTTGCACAAATCAGAGGCTCAGCCAAGGAGAATTCAACTGTGCTTGCAATAAAGCATTTTATTGGAAAGACAAACCTTACGATATTCTGCTGCATCGGTAGAGAGAAGATAACTATATAAAATATTTATGCCCCATTTTCCATAAAATATCAAAAATATCTATTTTGGAATGGAGAAAAAAGTACCCTGACATTTTTGGCTAGGATGGAAGATAGAATCCAGATTGAAAGTCTTTTTTATTTGTGCAGATTTTTTTTCAGTGTTAGTGTGATAGTACTTTCCCAACAATGGTCTGTTATCCTAAATGTTTAACAAATTGTAAAACCTTTCACTCCCAACTGTCCAAGACTTCCCTCTTGATTGCTTGTGTTTGTCACTTGGGTTGTGATTTTGCAGTAGAGAACTGGAGAAATGAAATAATATTATGAATCACCCTAGCCAAATAGACATTTATATCCTTCAAATTACTGAGGAAATTTAAGTTGTTGCTCCAGCTTAAATCACCAGGATATTTATTTTTTGTTGGTGGTAAGAAAAATAAGTCACCAGGATATTTATTTTTTGTTGGTGGTAAGAAAAATAATTTTAAGTATCTTCATATATTTTTTTCTGATCCTAAAATCAATATGTGTGTTCATCTGAATTTTTTTGAAGAAGCAGAAAAGTACAAAGAAGAAAATAAAATATTCTAAATTCTCCATACCCAGAGATAATTAAATGTCAAAAGTTTTATTTCTAGTATATCTCTAATATGATTTTATATTGCAAAATTATGTGTGCTGTTTGATATTAAATTCTACTTTTATTATTTTAACATCACATGCATTTCCCCACCTCGGTGGCACTTCTTTTTTTTTTTTTTTAAGTACTCCTATATCTTAAAAATTTTCTTTTACAACCTAAGAGATTTGTTTGCTGCCGATATATCTGGGTATCTCTTACAAAAAAATAATTCCCTAAACAGCCTTACCTAGAAAATAAAACAGTTGGCTCACATCGTTTGTTTGCATGTGTGGGTGTACATGTGTGTGCATGTTTAGCCTGACTCACTTTTCACTCTGAATTCCAAGGTACATGGGAGCTCCGTAGCTCTCTTATCATGTATTTAACTGCTGGAATTTACTGATCACTTTATACCTACTCCACATAGTTCCATAACTTAGAAACAGTTTTCATTCAAAAGGGAAAAGAAAGGATGGGTATATAAAGGGGAGATAAGGAATGAGGCTGACAAAAAAATGTGTGGTAGAAATCCATGAACAATACCTTCCATTGGGCCCCAAATCTGAATCTATGTCAGATTAAAAACTGGTGGACCTTGGTCCAAACTGGCCCAGTTGTATAAAAAAACATAATTTATTTGGCATGAGCTCTTTAGGATTTCAAGCAATGTTTTTAAATTGGGCGGATTGACATAAAATATGGATTTCTACAGTTTCTTGGAAGATAAAACAACCCTGAGCCGGCAATTGCATAGCAAAGATCAGCTGGAGTTAATTAGTCTTTAGACTGAGCTTTTTTTTGCCTTAGCATCCATGTTCAGTTTAACGCAGGTCTGAACACTCCTGGAGTTGGCCTGATCCTGAATTCAGTGCTAGTTGCCATTTAGCTCAGTGCTTAGCTCCTTTGTTCATAATAAATAAATATTTTTCTGTACCTATTTTTTAACCAAAAGTGAAAAAGTGTAATCCAAATAAGCCATGTGTCAAGAAAAATAATGCTTCAAAAATAATGCTTTTTTTTGTTTTGTTTTGGAAGTACACAATATGTTAAATATTTAATATACAAATAGCATCTGTGGTTAAAGAACACATTCAGTGAACTTCACTCACAGTTATTGTTCATCTCCCTAGCCTGTGAACTTGCAAAGTCTCCTTTAAGCTTTATATTGGCCATCATTTGGTGTAAACACTGTTTCTTTTTTTTAAGACAGAGTCTCGCTCTGTCACCAGGCTGGAGTGCAATGCCACGATCTC
Source organism: Homo sapiens (assembly GCF_000001405.40). Classification (NCBI taxonomy): domain Eukaryota; kingdom Metazoa; phylum Chordata; class Mammalia; order Primates; family Hominidae; genus Homo; species Homo sapiens. The sequence continues at coordinate 93,844,208 of NC_000013.11, forward strand.
AGCTCACTGCAAACTTCACTTCCTGCGTTCAAGTGATTCTCCTGCCTTAGCCTCCTGAGTAGCTGGGACTACAGGCATGCACCACCATGCCCAGCTAATTTTTGTATTTTTAGTAGAGACGGGGTTTCACCATGTTGGCCAGGATGGTCTCGATCTCTTGACCTCATGGTCCGCCCACCTCAGCCTCCCAAAGTGTTGGAATTACAGGCATGAGCCATCACGCCTGGCCGGTAAACACTATTTCTTAATTAAATGAAAGTAAACCCCACTTTTTGATGGGGTTGTTTGTTTTTTTCTTGTAAATTTGTTTGAGTTCATTGTAGATTCTGGATATTAGCCCTTTTTCAGATGAGTAGGTTGCGAAAATTTTCTCCCATGTTGTAGGTTGCCTGTTCACTCTGATGGTAGTTTCTTTTGCTGTGCAGAAGCTCTTTAGTTTAATTAGATCCCATTTGTCAATTTTGGCTTTTGTTGCCATTGCTTTTGGTGTTTTGGACATGAAGTCCTTGCCCACGCCTATGTCCTGAATGGTAATGCCTAGGTTTTCTTCTAGGGTTTTTATGGTTTTAGGTCTAACGTTTAAATCTTTAATCCATCTTGAATTGATTTTTGTATAAGGTGTAAGGAAGGGATCCAGTTTCAGCTTTCTACATATGGCTAGCCAATTTTCCCAGCACCATTTATTAAATAGGGAATCCTTTCCCCATTGCTTGTTTTTCTGAGGTTTGTCAAAGATCAGATAGTTGTAGGTATGCGGCGTTATTTCTAAGGGCTCTGTTCTGTTCCATTGATCTATATCTCTGTTTTGGTACCAGTACCATGCTGTTTTGGTTACTGTAGCCTTGTAGTATAGTTTGAAGTCAGGTAGCGTGATGCCTCCAGCTTTGTTCTTTTGGCTTAGGATTGACTTGGCGATGCGGGCTCTTTTTTGCTTCCATATGAACTTTAAAGTAGTTTTTTCCAACTCTGTGAACAGACACTTCTCAAAAGAAGACATTTATGCAGCCAAAAAACACATGAAAAAATGCTCATCATCACTGGCCATCAGAGAAATGCAAATCAAAACCACTATGAGATATCATCTCACACCAGTTAGAATGGCAATCATTAAAATGTCAGGAAACAACAGGTGCTGGAGAGGATGTGGAGAAATAGGAACACTTTTACACTGTTGGTGGGACTGTAAACTAGTTCAACCATTGTGGAAGTCAGTGTGGCGATTCCTCAGGGATCTAGAACTAGAAATACCATTTGACCCAGCCATCCCATTACTGGGTATATACCCAAAGGACTATAAATCATGCTGCTATAAAGAGACATGCACATGTATGTTTATTGCGGCATTATTCACAATAGCAAAGACTTGGAACCAACCCAAATGTCCAATAATGATAGACTGGATTAAGAAAATGTGGCACATATACACCATGGAATACTATGCAGCCATAAAAAATGATGAGTTCATGTCCTTTGTAGGGACATGGATGAAATTGGAAATCATCATTCTCAGTAAACTATCGCAAGAACAAAAAACCAAACACCGTATATTCTCACTCATAGGTGGGAATTGAACAATGAGATCACGTGGACACATGAAGGGGAATACCACACTCTGGGGACTGTTGTGGGGTGGGGGGAGGGGGGAGGGATAGCATTGGGAGATATATCTAATGCTAGATGACGAGTTAGTGGGTGCAGCGCACCAGCATGGCACATGTATACATATGCAACTAACCTGCACAATGTGCACATGTACCCTAAAACTTAAAGTATAATAAAAAATAAATAAATAAATAAATAAATGAAAGTAAACCAAAAGCTAAGAAGAAAACTCTACTATTTCTGATGTTAGGACCAGGGAAGAATCCTCCCTTCCATTAATGCCCTCAAAAACATCCTCGTAATATATACAACTAGACATTGAAGCCAAAATGTACCAAAATGTATAGCAAGCACAGGCTTAGAATTGTTCCTATTTTATGTCATTATAATATCATCACCATTATGAAAATTCTCTTCCTGTTCAATGTAATGCAAGCTAACAAATGATTACTTGCCAGCCACTATGCTAAGTACTTTTTACACCTTGCCATTTAGCCCTTACATTAAACCTATGAGATAGGTATGGTTATCATTCCACTTATTATATAAGAAACCTAAAGCAGAATGACACAGAGCCTATGCTGTAATATTCCACACTGCTTCACCCACAGTTGAATTTTTGGTCTCTAAATACAGCAACCTAATGCAAAACTCAATGGTCTATGGTAGTGCTATTCGACAGGAATATGATGTGAGCCACATATATAATTTGAAATTTTCAGGCTGGGCACGGTGGCTCACGCCTGTAATCCCAGCAATTTGGGAGGCCGAGGCAGGTGGATCACGTGATGTCAGGAGTTTGAGACCAGTCTGGCCAACATGGTGAAACCTGTCTCTACTTAAAGTACAAAAAAATTAGCCAGGCATGATGGTGAGCACCTGTAATCCCAGCTACTCGGGAGACTGAGGCAGAAGAATCACTTGAACCGGGGAGACGGAGGTTGCAGTGAGCTGAGATTGCGCCATTGCACTCCAGCCTCAAATTTTGGTGTGTATTTTGTGCTTATAGCACATTTGGGGTTGGACTAGCCACATTTCACATACTGAAGAAGAGCTTGTGGCTATAGCTAAGGAATTAGTATGGAGATAATGTTTTAATACATTATTCTCATATTTAAGATAAGAAAATTTAAAATATCTCCCTAGGAAGCCTAAACTCTTGTGGATGATTATTCATACACTTTCTGTTTATTTCACGATTATTCATACACAAGGAAAATGGAGAAATATTCTGTCTTTTCATAATGCATTTTTGTCTGTAATTGGAACTCTAACATAAGTAACATAGACACTTTATTGAGGGATTTGTTCTTGCCATTGCCTCAAAGGCCCTACAAGGAGTGCTACTTCTGTCCCTTAAGTGTAATGGCCATGAGGAAGGTTGCAAGTCATCATGGATGAACTACTCTGTGATTTTCAGTCGGCTCTGGGGAAGTGGAGGAGACGCATTAATACAGGAGGTGGCACGTGTCTGTGGATGTTAGTATCAGCAGTAAACGAAATAAATAAATGCCCAATTATGATCATGAGAAGGGGCCGTCTGAGATGTTTAGCTCTTTAAAAATAGCCATAATACTCATAAAGCTGGCCCGTCACTGGGTTAAATGACTCAAAACCACATGACTCATTTGTGTTCACGTAGATTTGAGGGTGTTTCACAATCTTTGGGTAAAGAAGGTTCTTTTCAGGTAACAGCCATGAAGCATTGGTTCTATTTGATTTGTCATTAAACATTTTAGAATATAACTTTTTAAAAAATATGAAATTACAATTTTAGTGAATTATTACTTGGGTGCATACGGTGTTACACTAAGTAAGTTAACCAAATTGACATTCATTGTCCCAAAATGCTTATCTCCATGAGGAAGGATCTTCTCATTAGGTGGGTCATATTTAATAATTCCTATTAATTTTTAAGTATGCATTATGGAATTGATACTTTCACCGCCATGCTGCAAATTGTGATGTGTAATTCATTTTCCTTTTGTAATATAGAGAGTCAGATCAACCTGGCAGAAGTATATGCCTCTGTGGCTGCAACCATGTTCTGAATACACACAACTTTCTCCTGGGCTCAAAGTATCATGGTGCTGAAGAGCTGACTTTGGGCTTATTTTATAATTCTCTTCGTTAAATTAATTTAGAATATGTACATGGATTTATTGTGAGATTTAAAGTCCTTTCCCTCAAGAGAGCCCAGAATATTGGTCTAGCAGTTTTTTGAACACAACATTGACTCAATTTCTGGGGCCAGTCAATTTAATGTCAGCATCCCATAATCTTAGCTACACAGTCATTTTCTCTCTACTTTTCACTTCTGAGTCAAAAATCTTTTTGAGAGATTACAAGTATGTCAGAGTATTTCCAACAGAGAGAAAGTTTGTACATAACTTCTATCTGCATCCTCAAATTCTTACTTTTTCTTTATTCCAGCATCTACGGTTTGTGCTTTCTCTTGGGTACTCAGAAACCCTCAAACTATTGAAAATTGAGTTTAGAAATTTCAAGCAACACAATCATTTTGTAACTTTCGTTTTGTGTTGCTTTCTTTCTGTGTTGCTTCCTCTCTATATTTCTCCCTTTCCCGTGCCTTGGTTTCTGCTGAAATCTACATCTCAATCACCCCAAGAATAGGCTGTTGCCACCTTAAGGCAACCCTCCCAGTCATTAGGCTCTGTACCTTCTTTTGGGCATCCTACGAATATCTTCATCAAATACCACTTTGATGAGGTTACTGTCCTGTTTACAAGTCCTGGCAGTATATTACTTATCAATTACTTTTTAAAAATCTGGGGTATTTACTAAGTCCTTGATTCTCTGCTAGGCATGGACTTTAAATGTCATATTCCTACCCTCAAGAGGTTGACAAGTCTGAAGTCCGCAGCCTTGCCTTTAAGTCTTCCATCTCTCACTTACCTTGCGGCCTGGTATCTTTAGTCCCAACTCAACAGCCAATTTCTCAAGCAAATTTGTCTTGCCCACTGCCCCCCGCAACCAATGTAATTTTTATCAGAGTTTCTTTGCCACTTTCCTTACTCATTGTGCCTTCCTCTCCCCTTTCTTTCAAACCCAGCTCGCTTGCCTCACTCAAAACTTGCTAAAATCCACTGACCACCATATCTCATGTATCCAGGAAGCTCCTTAGAGCTGAACCAGTTTTTTACTCACCCTCTTTTCAGAACCCCTGTACTAAGATTTCAGCATGTTTGTTGATTCAAAGTTTTCACATTGTACCATACAGTGGGCCTTCCCAACCTGAAATTGTAAACTAGTACTCAGGGAAGGAACATGCCTTCCATCCTTATCATTCCTCAGAGCAAGAACTATTGCAATTTGGATATGGTAGACGTTGAATAAATATTATTACTTCTATTATATTACTTTTTTTCTTTCTTTCAGTCTTACCATGGTTGGGATGAAGGAGAGTAATATTCATATGCGTTATAACATCTCCCACTTTATTGTAAATAGTGCCCTGCCTGAATACCTGATGGTTTTGGAAAAGGATGTACTATAGTTCTTTCTAAAACCCTACTTTCTCACAAAAGAGATAAAATTAAATACTCATGGCATGTTGTTACCCAACAGAGTGGTAGCTTCTTTTTAGGTTTTTTGGAATATCCAGCTCGAAAGACATTGTAGATGAATGAAAGATGAATGACTGAATATAAGCTGAGAAGGCCCATCTCCCTCTAGCTCTCACCTAGATGCAGTTGCAGCTCAAGATCTGCTGAAGAGTGGTGAATCTTTGTACTCAGACTTCCAAAACACCTATATCTATACTGTCCACCTATACATAGATAAAGATATCTATACTGTTTCCATAGTTAATGGAGCAACTCTTCTTTCCCTCAGATTTTCCCTTCTTGCCTTAGAATTCAGCTCATCTTTCCAGAGGCTTGTTGACTTACTTATTACAATTGAGTTTGGTAAATGATTAGTGGAAGGAAGGGTATACCAGTAGTTTCATAGTCTTCACACGTGAACATTGTACATTTCCCTAGGTGTGGGTAAACAGAAGAGAAAGATGTACCAAAATGCTAAAATGATGGGAACATTTTTACCGTGAATTATTAGAATTATTAAGGAGAAAGGAAAGAAATAAAGGGAGAAGCAACTAATAATCTCTTTTGTAAAGTGCTCACATTGCACATTTACAATTAAGCTGTTCTGACTTCTGTAATTAAAATAATTTCCTCTGAGAGGTCTTAATCATTCATGCCCATGAGTAAAAAAAGGCTGTTGTCATGAATGAGCGATTAAAAGGAAGATCTTATTCAGATGCATTAGTTCCTATGAGAAATCTTTGAAAACAAACCACGCATGAAAAAGACAATCAGTAGGTTTGGCCAGGGTAATTTTGGCAATCTGTAGAAAACACCAGTGCATATGTTTATTCACCCCTTCATTCAGCAGCATTTATTGAACACCAACTCTTTGGCAGGTGCAGTGGGTGCGATGGTAAATAACACCTAGCCCAGCCTTAGAATTCCCATTCTAAAGTGGATCCCAGACAAATGAATAGTAGAGGCCAATGAGGGCTAAGATAGGTATTCATGAGTCATAATAACTCGGGAGACCATTGGTACAAGCTCAACCTATGGGGACCCTTTGACCTTAGACCATTTTATTTTGCCAGTCACAGATTTTATATCAACAGAAGCATAAATTCTAATGAAGATATGAAAATTCACTGTTTATTGAGAAAATAAAACTCCATAAACAACTAGTTAATATTTATTGACTAGTCACAAGGTATATGCAACTGCTGCTGGGAACAGTGAATTTTAATTATATATATATGTACATTTTCTCTTTTACATTATATGCTATATCATGACCGTAATATGAAAATAACATAGGAGAAAATGTAAAGAGAGGAGAAACTTGATGTAATCCAGAGCTCGTTAGACCAGAAATAGGAGATACCTGGAAGGGAATTCTTAGTTTGACCCTAATTAGTTGTCTGAATAACTTAATTTCTTTTCTCTTTGATGAAGTGAGGAGATTAGACCACATGAAATGCTTATTGGGAATGAAATTCCCAATGTGATGGTTATTGAGGTCTTAGACATATGACTGAGAAACTGAAGTATAGTTTCAGGACTGCACCTCTGAGCATTTAGATCTGCCTTGGAAGGGGTTGGCCAATTAATGCACTAGCAGTTATTTTGAAAGTTGTAGGCTGTACTTCATTGTATGTGTCTTTGAATATGGCTTGAGAATCTAACTACTTCTGATTGTCATCCTTGTAATTGGGCTTAATTCTAATTTTGGTGTAACACAGCTTACTTTTATAATAACAGGACTTTTTAAAAAATCACTTCAAATTCCAAAGACAGTGTTGAGCAGCTGGATACCTGTATGCCTAATGGATTTCCATGGGCCTCTAGAATTCAACCTGTTTTGCTGGCAGAGCCAGACATCTAAATCTACTATACTATGTTTTTGTATATGATTCATAATTTTAATTTTGGCACTCATGATCTATTTGGTGTTAAATACACGTTACTGCCAGAGATAATGGATGTCCTCCTAAGGAAATGGTGTTTGCAGTGTTCTCTATTGAATCTCACATTTGATTGGCATGTGTATCCTAAAAAAATTGGCATAGCACTTTGTTAGAGGGCACAGTGCCATCTAACAGTCAGGGAAGAATATAGGCTGAAAAGTGATCACAAATGAAGTCAGCTAGGAGTGTTCAGGAATCAAGATTTGGCTCACTGCAGTAGAGGGAAATAAGTACTTTTATGAAAGTCTTCTTTTATGCTAAAGTTTCCACTGACTGTAACCTTTAAATATATCTCGGGAAGATTTGAAGGCACTTTTGCTAGCTTGGAAGAATTATGTTTAAAATTTAATTGTATAATGATGTTGAAAAACAGCATTATGTTTGTATTTACTCTACAGTTTGTTAAATCAATATGCAGGTGAATCTAGTATATCAAATCGCACAGTCAACAGGATTTTGTGTACCAAGTAAAATAAGTAGAGGATTATATCCTTCTGCCACTTGTTACCTAGTGAAATTCTAGGTCACTGAGCTTCTGTTATCTCATCTTCAAAGTGGGGATAATAGGAAGTGGGGATGATGTACTTACCTGAAGTTTTTATGATAGTTATATGAGACAAAAATATGATAAACGTGTTTGGTAAGCAATAGCAGATTCCTAAGACTAAGAATAGTCTATAATATCACAGTTTTACATAGAGGTGAAAAAAGCAAAATGTATTCCAAAGTAGTTGACAACAAAAACCTATGACAGCAATATCAAATTTAAACACTGTAATATTCTGTATTATAAACATGATGATACTAATTATGGAATACTATACCGGTTCTGAGGAATAGGCTCTCTTTATATCTACTCTAGTCTCATTACACTGCTAGGCATTGGCAAACAAAGGAACACACATGGAAGTCATCTCAGTTTTTGTTCTTGTCTAAAGTTTACAGGTATATGCACAATGCCTTTTGGAAACGCATACTTTGTAAACTGCATATAAGATACACATGGGGCTGAATCAATAAAGTTCAGCAGACACCACATTCCTATTCTGTTCTCTGTATTCTCTCCAAAGTATCTTTAAGGCTACAGTCAACAATAAGATTTTTGTTGTAGACAACTAATTAAAGCCGAAATAAGCACTCCAAATAATTTCATGATTTCTACTGGAAATTTTCAGGACTTAGCAATTTGTGGTACAATATGTCTAAAATAAATACTACCAGCTTTTCCTAAAGTAGAGCCTACAGTATAAAGTTAAAAGTAAAAACTTTCTGATTAATGATTTCTCTCTCTCTCTCCAATTAATAGCAGAAAACCACTGAAAAGAGACTTTTTCCCCACAAACTCTCAATTCTTGTACACATGGTTTTATTATTGATTGTACATGGGAACTGACTGTGATTCTGTTACTTGAAATTTTATTGTTCCCTGAGTGTTGACTTCAAAATTACATCTCTTCTCTGTTGGATCTTCTGAATGGCTATGATCCAGTTTCCAATCTAGAGGGATATTTCACCCTCTCTCTTATTGGCTAGTATCATTCCCAGAAGGGATCTGTCTTTTGTGCTTATTAAAGTTTATTTTGTACAAAAATTTATGTTCCTCATCTTAGTATTTAATCAGTATTTTAATCTTATGCAGGCAACATATGTACCAATTTCAAGGGGATAAAATGGTAATTAAAAATCCAGTTAAAAAATAATTACAAATATTTCTGGGGAAATACAGAAGAAATGTGATGAACATTGTTCTATGTTTACTATTTCCTCTTCTGACATTGTCACTAATAATGAAAAGTTTTATTTAAAAACCAAAACACGGTCAAGCAATACTCTAATTAAATGGTGGGGATAATTTTAAAAATTCAGCCAGGCTCCAGGAGTATAATTCAAGGTTAAGTAACATCTATTTGTCTTTCCCTGCTTCTTGCCTATATGTAATCTTTTCTTCTTGGTACAATGCATCGGTGTGAACAACGCCTTACCACCACTATGGCAAAGGAACCATTGGATTTATAAATAAGGCAGAAAAATCAGTTTATTATCATATTACCATTCTCCACAACAATTTCTTTGTCTTTCAAAAACCAAGTAGAGGTTAAAGTGTAGAACTGAGTAAAGCTTGTAAAATCATTTGCAAGTCTTTAATCAAATTTTTACATTCAGGATAAATTGTTCTAATAGACCGTTCTATATAATGCCTTAATTACTATATTTTCACTCCTAAAACCTTCAATCGAGACAGAAATAAAAAAAATATGAATTTTAAAATTTTACTCTATTTAACACCTGTAGACAATTTGTCTCTTATCCTTGTGTTAGTCAATCCCTTTAAACTCACATGGTGGCAATAATTGTATCTTTATGAAGTAGTATAGTTGATCAAATTCAAACTGCCTTCCCCAGATAATGATACACGTTAATGTGTTTTCTGAATTTCTTTACTGATGCTCCAGAAAGGAAGACAAGTTCATTTTTATAATTTTATTTTTAATATTTGTGTTATTGTTGTCCTCACGGGAATTAAATACTATATATGAACACTATTAAAATTCACAAAACTACTCAAGTCAATGAAACACAGTAACATGTTCACAGGGACAAGATAAAATGACTGTAACTATTGTCAGGTGTCGGAATTGCTTTAGCCTTTTCCATAAATCATGGTGGAAGTATCATTATCATACATGATTAATGACACTTCACGTCGTGGATCTGATTACAACCACAAAACAAAGAAAATAAAGAGGAAATCATTCATGAACACCCTCTATGCAAAGGTTGGGGTGTTTCTTTCAAATTACCATAATCTGCCTACTCAGCCAGTCAAACACAATTCACTGAATCCAACAGAGACCTAACAGAGATTTTCCTGATGATATTCAGGTCTCTTTCATAAACACTGAGTGAGCAGTTTGGGGAACAGCAATAATCTTTTTTCCTTCATCCCATTTCTCGTTTGGAAATCTCTGAATCCGTATTTATTGATCCAAGCTACCTTATATTGAAAAACTATTTTTTTCACGATAGTAGTATTTGATTTATTTAAAGATAACCTTAAACCTCATGATTCTGCAAAATGCTAGGGTATTTTTCCCCAAAACTGTGCTCTTTAGTTATCTGTTCTCAAATCACACTTGTTTCTTAATAGAATGAGCTTACATGTTATATTTTCATTTGGATTATATTGTTAAATTTTCACTGGTAATCCACTGAAATCACACGTGAAGATTTTCTTTGAAATACATGTTAAAATTATTTTAATACAAAAGACATTTTATATAGTTGAGATATTTTCTGATTTTTAAGAAGCATCTACATACATGGAATAACGTTTTAATTATTGACTACAGAGTATTCTTATCCATTAATCAACTAACTAATCCATTAATATAGTCTGCTTGATAACACATTATTTGTATCACTTTTTGTTATTTTTAGAAATTTACAACAATGAACTTTCTTTTATTGAATAGTCTATCCTTAAGATACCTAATTTACTTTCCCACCTAAAAGAATCTAAGTACATTTTTTTAAAAGAATAGACATTCTTTTTCAGAGCAGTTTTAGGTCCACAGCAAAATTGGAAGGTACAGAGATTTCCCACATAACCTTTCCCCTCCTGCCCCTCACCTCATGTACAGCCTCCCCTGGTATCAATGTCCCCACCAGAGTGGCACATGTGTTATGACTGATGAACCTCATTGACACATCATTATCAAAAAGGACCATAGTTTACATTAGGTTCACTCTTGTGTTGTACATTTTGTAGGTTTGGACAAACATCTAATAACATGTGTTCACTTTTACAGTATCCTACAGAATAATGCTGCCCTGAAAACTCTCTATGTCCCACCTGTTTATCTCTCCATCCTTACTAATCCCTGGCAATAACTGATATTTGTATTGTCTCTATAGTTTTTGCTTTTCCAGAATGGCATGTAGTTGGGAATTCTACAGTATGTAGCCTTTTCAGATTGGCTTCTTTGACTTAGTCATATGTTTGTGAGGTTTCTCCGTGTCTCTTCATGGCCTGGTAGCTCATTTCCTTTTAAGATTCAATAATATTCCATTATCTGGGTGTAACACAATTTTATTTATCCATTCATCTACGGAAGGATATCTTGGTTGCTTCCAAGTTTTGGCAATTATGAATAAAGCTTTCATAAATATCTGCATGGAGGTTTTTGTGTGGATATGTTTTCAGTTCCTTTGGGAAAATACCAAGGAGCAAGAATGCAGGATAGTATTTATAGTTTTGGGAGAAACTGACAAACTGTCTTCCAAAGTGGCTATACCATTTTTCATTCCCACCAGCAATGAGTGAGAGTTTCTGTTGCTCTACATTCTCACCAGCATTTGGTGTTGTCAGTGTTCTGGATTTTGGTCATTCTAATAAGTGTGTAGTGTATCTCATTGTTGTTTTCTTTTGCATTTCCCTGATGACATATGATGTGGAGCATCTTTTCGTATGCTTATTTGCCATTTGTTTGCTTATTTGCCATTTGTATGCCATTTGTATGTCAGTGAGGTGTCGAAGTCTTTAGATCATTTTTTGATTGACTTGTTTTCTTATTGTTGATTTTAATCATTCTTTCTATATTTTGGATAACAGTATTTTATCAGATATGCCTACTGCAAATATTTTCTCCCAGCCTGTGGCTTCTCCTTTCATTCTCTTGACAGTGTCTTTCACAGAGCAGTTTTTAATTTTAATGAAGTCCAGTGTATTGATTCTTTCATGGATCATGCCTTTTGTGTTTGTTCCTCAGATGCATATGAATTGGTGAGAGAGTATATATCAGCATTCTTGCACTGCCATCTCAGTTCTCTCCTTCAGGCTCAAGAGGCTACAACACAGCCTCCTATAAACTATGCTTCCCAAAATAATCTTATTTGGGTGAAAATTGCCTTCCCTATAGGTCTACTCAACAGCAGCTGAAAGTTGAGAGTTAAGCAGAATATCGTGACTCCTAAGTGATGTCAAGTGGGTTGAGGATAAGGCAGGATGTCCAAAGAATGTTTAAGTCATCCAAACATTAACAATCAGCAAGTATTAATGGAGCACTTACCTTGTTTCAGGTGCTGTGGTAGGCAGAGTGTACTGAGAGGTCCAGAAGGCATGGATCCTCACTACAAAAATATCAGAATAAGAGACAAAGGAACATAGGCAAATGAGAAATTTGTAGGGAGCTGTGTGTAGCAAAAATATTTGCACAGTTTACTCCAAAGAGTAAGTAAGAAACTATGTCTCAATGATGCAGTGGGTAGTTAGTTGGTGCACAGGCTTGGGAAGAACCTAGATATCCTGATGCCTGAACTAATTTTGCAAAGATACAGATATTTTCAAGGTGGACATGTGTAGAACATCATTCTATGCAGATGGAACTGTGGTGGACATGTTTGAGGTGGCTATAGCTTCAATTAAAAGAAATAAGCACTTTGGAGAAACAAACCAGGAATGGATTGTGAGTCTTGACTTTGATAATGGATCCTCTTGCTACATCATTAGCTGACCTCCAGACCTGGTTCATTGTGCCTCCATTTAAGAGAACGTGGTTAAATAGGCAAAGCCAAATTTCTTGTGGATTTAATAAAATAAGAAGTCAAAGAAAAATAGCAGTAACTACCTTTTCTCATTGCCACTGTCTGGTGCCTATTTCTTGTTGTAGATTCTTATTCAACATTTCCTATATTAAAATGGCAATACAATACAATATTTACAGCCACATATCACTTATTTAGTACCAAAGGGATGCAATGCATTTTGTCACTAACATCACCTGAAGACATTTTTCCCATTGGTCACTATTAGAAGGGGGTATAAAATTCATCCTTATTGGAAAAAGGAAAATAGATCACAATAAATTGCAAACACATCAGGGAGTTTACTCCTAAGCAGCAGGAGAGAATCAAAGAAAGTTTTCATGTAGAAGGAAGGCAGCAGAATGAAAGAATCACTCTGTGGGAGATGACAAACCATAAAAATATCAGAGGTGTTGCATAAGATTTGGAAATGGTCAGCTATGTCAACCCATTGTGAATTCTATAGATAGCTCAAGTTTTGTGCAGATGTTATCCAGAATAATTTGATCAGGTCCTGTCTTGTTTAGAGAATAATAAAATGGTGCCTTTGTCAGCATGTGCAAGTGATATAACAACAGTTTATTTTTATTCCTTGAGAATTGGAAATTGTCTTTATCTCTGAATAAAAAGAAGCCCAGAGATTCAGCCCACTTTCAGGTCTTTGGAATATATACAAAGTAAGGTAGAAAAAAAGAAGCTTTAAATTGAAATCTATTTAAAATATTGGGAATATCATATGTTATTTATAGGACTGTTGGTAACTGTTACTTTGCTTTCTGAACACATTGTTTTCAGCAAATGCGTTAAAGCAAAGGGCTACTACTACTAAGGGCTAGAGAAAGTGGAATGGGAGAACTGGCCTTTAAGTTGCTAATAATTTTTCCAAATAGAGAAAATGTATATATACACCCCGAATAAAGAACAACACAGAAATATAAGTGCCAAACTATGTAATACAGACTATAAATAATATATAGGGTCAAAGAGAGGAATGATCTTTGTGGGCCATAGATAATGGGGAAGAGGAAAGAACTGAATTGAACCATTAGTATTTATTTTCTTTTTTCACTTTGAGAGTGGATAAATTGCTGCTAACATACATTAATTACATATTACAATTCAAATTCTACCCTATAACAAAAAATCTACAACTACCCTTTAAAACAATTTATTTTAAATAATATTAATTATAATGTAAATGCATTGGTTGTCTACCACTTAACAGTTTGACTGATTAGTTGCTATTGATATTTTTCAGTGCTGAAAGTGCTTCTTATTCACAAATCTTTATTCGTACAATTAAATCTTTTTTGAGGTGGTCAAATTAATCCCAATTACTATCTGTTGTTTTGTTAATAACATAATATTTCTACACTGTCATTATATTATTAATTGAGCTTGTATAAATAAATAATGGCCAATGGATTATGGTTATATGTGGGGTCTATTAGTTATGAAATTTTAGTTTGCCATTTTAGGTCCCATACATAATTTGGCATCAACACTTTATTAATGCAAACAAGTAGAAAATTTGAAACTTATCTCCAATGGAAGATGGAAGACTGGATGAGATCACCAAGGAAATGAGTGCATGTAGGGAAGAGTAGAGATCCAAGAACTCCAGCTTCAGAAATCTCAAAGAAATGGACAAATCAGCAAAGACGATTGAGGAAAAGAACCAATGAGACAGAAAGAACACCATGAAAACATGATGTTCTAGAATTCAAGTTTAAAAACCTGTAGCACGGAGGAGGGAAGGAGGAGAAGCAAGTAACAGTTTGCAAAAGAGTATGAGAATGAGAATGGCCTGTCAAATTAGCCATGCAGAGCTCATTGGTGGTATCGACTAGCAGTTTTATTGGAGTAGTGGGGGTGAAAGTCTAAGTGGTTTTAGGGAAGAATAGGAGGAGAGTCACTGTGGGCAGCAAATGTAAACAAGACTTTTGAGGAATTTTGTTATAAAAAGGGAAGGGAGACATTGAAGCTAACTTCAAAGTAGAATAAAGGGAAAGAGGATTATTATCTAATACTATTAATAGTAATGATTATTATTATGTTAAGATGAAAGAAATGAGAATTTGTATTGTGCTAATGGGAGTCAACGCAGAGAAAAATTTCTAATGAACACTTCATTAACTTAGGTCATCTCTTTAACATCTCTGTGGGGTCTATACTATTATATCTTCAATTTAATAGAAGCAGTAACATTACCCAGCTAGCATGTGGGCAATCTGGTATTTTATTCTTGGCATTATTGTCCAGTCTTAGGTCTTAAGCACTTTCTCTTAAACAGTATCTATCTTTTAAAAATGCACAAACATGTACTTATACCAGCTAAATTATAATGTATCCACGTACCATTTTCTTTAGGGAATTTCTTAGTGATGTGTCTAATTGTTCTTTCATTTTCATGTATTTTACTGAAAAATAAACTATTCAGTGTTATATTGGTTAATATAAGTTCTCATCAATTTCTGAAATGAATATAACTGCTTTATTACCAAGAAATGATTTTATAATCTGTAAATATTCATTTGACAGGTTTTTACCTTCAATTGGCTTAAAGTAAAAGAAAGGAATATTTGGGTTTAAACTGAGAAAAAAGTTGGGTGATTTTTGTCCTAATTTACAGATAAAGATTTCTCTTGTAGTAGTTCTATCTTGTAGTAGTTACCATTGTCTATCATTTTGACCAAGAGAAAGATAGCACGTATAATTACGCATCAGTAGTTTTCCCTTTGTACATATCTTTTTTGGGGAGAGCGGGGAGCACAATTCAAGTCTTAACAACCATGTAAGCATTTTATGTGCATTTTGATTTCTGTGAGCTACATTGGGAACTGTAGAAGGCATCTATAGAGTTCAGTAGCCTCATGACTGACTGACTCATGCCCTCCCACTCAGTCTCTTGACCACCCTGGAAATATATGAACTTGAAGAAAATGCTACAACAGCTAATGAATCAGTGGGTTCCCACTCATCTTAGAATAAACAAAAGTCCCCTTAACATGGCCACAAGGATCTCAACGGTCCCATCTCAGCCACAATACTGGGACCTTCTGTGCCAGCACATCTGGCTGTATTTTATTTCTTTACATTCTCGGCCTTCCTACTTCCTCTCACCTTATGGTGTTAGCTTGTGTCATTTGTCCTCCTTCTTCCTTCCCATCAACTCTTAGCAGACATTTACTCATTCTTTAGACACTAGTACCAGCATTGTCTTCTCATGGAGTCATCTTGGGCCACCCTAAATCAAATTCTTTCTTCAGAGGTTCTTAAGCAAAAATTCACCTCTTTGTCTTAATTATATCACATTGCAGTTTTGTGCTTGGTGTGTGTGGCTATTTGGTTGACATATACTTCTCATAGACCCTTAAAATAGGGACCATGTATGTCCAAGGCCTTATTAGCGCCAGGCTCACAGTAGACATTAAATACTTTCATGCATTTTTTTAAACAAGGAGGTACATTAAATTGTTGGATTCTTTATTTCCACTCTCTTGAATGTGAGAAATAAAAGGCTCATTTTCATCTTTTCTTTGAAATAGGGTAGTTTTTTCTGGATATAATTTCAGTTAACTCATAGACCTAAATTTGGTGTTTAGCAATCTTTTACACAAATATATGTGGGTGATAATGTGTCAGAATGAAGAACTTTGAAATTTCTGTGCAGAATGTCTCAGCATCATCCTTGGATGTGATGATGGACTTGGGGGCTTGTTCTGTATGATATTCTTATGTTTGCCTTACAATTTTTTTCTGGGACTTCAAGGTGGAAGTGGGATAGGCATTCCACATTAACTTGTGTATGTGTTACATGAAAAAAGATAAATTAGAATAATGAAGACTCTTGATCCTTAACTATCTTTATAGCTGGCCAAATCTGTCACAATTAATTCTATTGCACAAAATAACTATTATATAACAGCAATTTTGAATCTCATCTTTTCTTAGTTGCTCTCACTATAGCAAAATGAAAATATAATAACTCACTAAGTCATTTTTATCATTAAAAGGGTGGGCTCAGGGAACAGGCATTCTGGGTTTGCATGCAGGACTTGGAACTTCTACCTTCTAGTTGGGGACTGTGTTGCAGTTACATAACAGCTCTGTGTCTTGGAGGGTTTTTATGTATAAAATGGGAATACTAATACTACCTTACAGGATCGTTTTGAGGATTAACAGAGTAGATCCGTGTAAACCCCTTAGAACATTGTCTGGCCACAATATACATTAAAAATACTAGCTGTTATTCATAATAATATTATTATTACAACTTGGTGAGAAGATGAGAACATTTTCTATTTCACAGTAGTAAAAAAAAAAAGAACTCTTTTGTATAAATTTCATGAAGATTTGTTGAGCACCTATTTTATGCCAGACACTGCATGTTTTGTGAATATAAATGAATAAGACATTCATTTCAAAATGCAGACAAAAGTATGTATAATTTTGGACAGTGTGAATTTAGTGAAATCTTCAAGTACCTGGAGTTGTATATGTAAAAAAAAAAAAAAGAAAATATTCATATCTAATTGTTAACTACAGAAAATATTATAAACCCTGATTTTATCCAAATGAGAAGACAGCCACTGAATGTAGATAGGACGGGCAAATAACAGGAAGCTCAGAACCTAATTCTCTCCCAACAAAATGTTTAAAGCTCTTATTTTAAGCCCATTTCTGGCACCTGGTGTCATTTACCCTTGAAAGGTTTTGCTTTTATTGCAGCTGGTTTACTCTGCGCTGTCTTTTGATGAATTTCATTATCTCATGTTGTCTCTTTAATTTCACATTGGTATATGAGCACAAAGTAGAGAACTATTGGAAAACAGTGAAAAGAACTCTGGTCTAAAAATCAGCCCCTTCCTGACTGTGGCAGCACCCTCTGACCTCTTTACTGGTCGAGTTACTTCATCCTTCTGGACGTTATTTTACATCTTCTGTAAAACAAAAAGGTTGTATTAGGTGATCTAAAGTGTCGGAAGGTTATGCTTGCCTCTCTGCGCATCACTGTGCCCCTTCAGTAAGATAAGGAGACATGCCTGCCCTGAGCTGCTGCTAGGATTTCATGAGTCACCATGTCTGGAAGTGCCTGGGACATCACAAACCCTCTCTCTATCAGTGTTATTATTCATGGAATGACGCTAAACCCACTTAGGAGTTCTCTTGGGTGATTATAGAAGTTTTTGTGCAATTTGGTTTTCAGAAATGACAGCACAGTAAAAGCAATGTGCTCTAGTGCCTAGGAAGCTCACCAAGATTGAATGAAGAGCAAATGTAATTCTATCAGTGCTGAATTTTTCTTAAGTTCTCTCCCACAGTAACAGCTAAATGCCATTTCTAAGGTATTTAGGAAGGCAGTGTCATGGAGTTTTCAGCATTCACATGAAAGTTTAGCTGACTTCTGGGGAAAATAAGCCAGCCTAAGAATGGACTTTGCTCCATGCAGGGGAGATATTGCCACTTCTCTACTGCTCCGTGAGTTCATATTTAGGGGGGTTACATCGGGGGCTACTGGAGTGGAAAGGCTTTTAAGTATTGCATCTGATTCAGCCAGCAAGTTGAGTCACAAAGTGGATTACATAAAAGGAGGAGGAGGAGATTGTGGTGCATGTGTCCCAGAAAATATTTAATTCAATTCAAAATCTCAACTCTGAAGATAAATACTGCCCTAATCTGCATCCCTGGGAACCATATATATACAACCCCCACCACATATAAGAAAGTAGCTCTAAAGAAAATAGTGCAAGCCTAAATATATTGGACAAGTGGGATTAGTTGCCACTGTATATAAAGGAGCAAATCCCATCAGGAAACTTCCAGAGTAATATCCCCGTTGACAGTTATTATTCCCTATGTTGCCACTGTAGTATATTCTGTTTGTTTCTCTGCTTTCTTTCCCTGTGAAGTGTATGGCCTTCCAAAGTATGTGCCATTTGTTTTATCATTTTTTTTCTCTCTCTGGTTAGACCCACTCTTTTCATAACATCTTTTAAGATACAGAAAAGAGTGATGGCTTTTTCAACTCTGTATTCTCACTCATAACACTGTATCTGGCCCAAAGAATGAATCCTCGCATGTTGTGTGACCCATAGTGAAGAAAATATAGGAACAAGGATATGTCCCTTCCAGTTTTGGCCTCTCCTTGTTTATTTTAATCAAGGTGATATGATATGTGCTATGAAAACAAATACCCAATGCTACAAGGCTGACTAGAGACAACCAAACAGTAAGCTTTTCTTTTCAAATTAATTTATTGTAGACTCTGGGTCATCAAACTACAGCCTGAAGACCAAAGCCATCTTGCAGTCTGTTTTTGTAAATGACATTTTATTTGAACACAGTCACACTTATTTATTTTCATATGAGCCATGGTTTCTCTCTCCCTACAGAATTGGGTAGATTCAACAGAGACCATATGGCCTACAAAGTAAAAAATATTTACTATCAAGTTCTTTACAATTCATGTTCACCAATTTCTGTTGTAGACTATTTAGAAGTAGAAAATGAAATAATTATCATTTCTCTTAGTAATTTGTTAAATCCAAAGAAAACATGTTTTTATGTTACAGTTAGCCAAAGGCCTTATGTTTTTTCAGACTTTTAATATTCTCTAAGCATATTCTTCACACATTATCTGTTAATGAAAACAGTAAACTGATTAGGCTCGATTTATGGTAAATGAAAATCTTCCCTTATAGCTAAATCGCATCCATCACTGGACCTTCATAAATATACAACTCCAGTTCATGGTGACATCATAAACTTCTCCTCTGTAGTTTACCCTGATGTAAATTGTCCTCCCCCTGGTATTTATGACCTACAGTTTCCCAATACCAGAGTACAGTTTATGAGACAAATGAGTCTAGTCCTCCACTGTCATTCTTAGATTGACAAAGTCCTATATTAAATTGGGATCAACTATATATGATGTGCATTTGTGTTGCAAAAAGATACAGCAGTCTGCTGGATTTATCAGGAACGTTTTGGGAAATAAACATCCATGCCCTGGCTAAATAAAAGATGAAATCAGTACTAGTCAAAAAAGTCTTAAAATATGACTGCTCTGTTTCTAAAATGTTTTCCCATCTTGCCTTTGTAGGGAACACTCTTAAAATGCATTGCTCTGTGATAATGGGCTCAATTTAATGAGTAAAATTTCCTTAATTTTCTCTTGTATTTTGGATATACCATAATCCTACCTAATTTCAAATTAGCTACAATGGCAGATAGTTAGGCATTGTGAATAAAAATGCCCACCTTATAATAACCAAATTAATATTTGAATACTTCATTGTATGTAGTCATGTACTAGTTAAGTATAAGATGATAACTGCCTTTCTCTTTCTTCCCGATCTGTGAAAGCTATGCTCAAATCCTCTGTCTACTGAGCAATCCTCCCAGACAAACCCAGTGCTGCTGCAACTGCTGTTGCATTAAATGATTGTTCTACACTATTAACACCACATCTTATACTTCTCATGAGTATGTGACACATCATTTAAACCTGACTTCCACCAGTGCAAAATGCTGATAGTATACATCACTGCCTGGTACCCGCCTTGTGTCATTTCTCTGTAGACCTCAGCATGCCACCTCTCAGCCATATGAAATGATTCTGATGGAAGGAGATCTAACCCTCTGCTTATTTCTTTTGCACTCCAGAGGATGTAACAGGGCAGTAATAAAAGCTAATATTTATTGACCACTTGCTCTGTGCCAGGTATTTGTTATCTCATTTTATCTTCACAATGACCTTATAAGATAGCTACTGTCTTTATAGTATCATTCTAGTTTTACAGATGGTAAACCTGAGGCACAATCAGGCTAAGCTAGTTGCATAAGGTCACAAAGCTAGCAAGAGGTAAAGCTAGAATTTGGCCTCTATGGGCTGACCCAAATGTAGAACTCTAACCACTGTACCACAGTGTAGTTGTCCAGGCGGTAAATCCTTTGTTGACTGGGTCACAAATGATGCATATAGATGGTTTTTACAGTGTAAAATCTCATGACTTAAGTTATTCAAATTTTGTGTAAAGATAATCAAAATATAAATTTCAAAATACACTCAGAAATAGGTTCATTTGTTTATGTAAAATATACTAAAAAGAGCTTAGGACATTAAGTGCCTCCATGAATGGGCATTTCATCACAATTGGATTGCAGTGGGTGACACCATAAAAAAACTAAAATCAGTCAGGGAGATGTTTTAGAAGATATGGTTTGTAAAAGTTCCTTTGAGGCCCTTAGACTAGGCAGTAAATGTACTGCCCCCAAATCCTCCTCCTCTCCAGTTGGAAGATAAAATTGCTATTATAATCATGGGTCACTTCAAGTTCAATGGAACTTACTCTCTGGGGAAAAAAATGGCCAAATAAAAAGCAAGTTTTCTATCTATTTTCAATGATAAATGTCTGGCCTACTTCAAGAGCCTTTTGCCAGGGTTCAACTAATTTCCATGCAGCCAGGCCCAACATGCCAATAATGATGGACAGCGTGAGACACCAAAGGATTCTGCGGATTATGACTTCTGCTCTGCAGACAGACAGCACTTCGTTTAAGTGGCTTTCCAGATATCTCACTGTGGATCTGATGGAAGGATTTAGCTTAAAGCCAGAGGTTGTAACCTTTTGTCTGTGAGATGAAGCCTTTGACCAGAGGTGTAGCACAGAAACTGCTACCCTGTGTCATCCTTATTATGCAGCCAGCTTTGCAAGACTGCACTGTCTTTCATATATTTACCTTCTCTCATCAAGGCACATGATAATAAAGATATTGATTCTCATGCCCTGCAACTTTCTTTTTAACTAATTCAACATGTTTTCATTGCCTATGGGAAAGAGAGCTAATTCAAAGGCAGGAGTCCATTAATTTTAGAAATTTAAGGCAAAAGAAGAACTGATGGATAATTTTGGAAAATTGTCCTGTCCTCTGCTTACTGTTACCATAATACCTTCAACTCCTGGTGACTGGATTGAGATATTATTTTAGGTCAATTTAGATGGGTGGGATTCTCTGAGGTCACATGATTTGAATCAAACCAAAAGTCATAGACCAAAATTGGTTAAGTGCCATGCAGAAATAGAGGGCATGAGTCAAAGCTTAAGGGTACCGATGAGCAGAGGCGGAGTCCTTGAAGCCAGAATCAATGGCCTGATGTGTCCAAAACCAAAGAGTGGTGGACTCTGCAAGTTTTGAAAAGCAGGTAAGTGGTGGGATGATTCACTGTAGCATTCTTCTGAAAAGCAAGTGCCTATATGCCTTTTTGAAAGTAATGTTATTTACAGCCAACAACTAGAGACAACCCAACTATCCCTCAGTAGGAGACTGTGTAAACAATTGTAGTGTAGCCATACAAAGGAATACTACTGAACAGGAAAAAGGAACACAAAACCGATTCATGAATTGACATGGATGAATCTCAGAGATATACAGAGCTGTAGGGTCCAGAAACATGTATCTTTATAATAGAATGTTTTATATTCCTTTTAGTATATACCCAGTAATGGGCGTATGTTCACCACAACGCCGTTCGCAATAGCAAAGACATGGAATCAACCTAAATTCCCATCAGTGATAGACTGAAAAAAGAAAACATGGTACATATATACCATGGAATACTGTGCAGCCATAAAAAAGAACAAGATCATTTCATTTGCAGGGACATGGATGGAGCTGGAGGCCATTGTCTTTAGCAAACTAACACAGGAACAGAAAACCAAATAGTGCATGTTCTCACTTATAAGTGGAAGCTAAATGATGAGAACACATGGACACACAGAAGGGAACAACACACAATGGGGACTTTTGGAGTGTGAAGAGTGGGAGTAGGGAGAAAATCAGGAAAAATAATTAATGGGTACCAGGCTAAATACCTGGGTGATGCAATAATCTGTATCACAAACCCCCATTACGTATGTTTACTATGTAACAAACCTGCACATGTACCCCTGAACCTAAAAGTTTTTCTAAAAATTGTTAGTCAAAAAATAAACATTTCTAAAAATATATAATGTAAATAATTTTTAGCAAAAATTAAAGTTCAGAAACAAAGGAACATCTTCTGTCTTATTCCTTTACTTGAAATGCAAAACCAAAGTTTAGCCTAGCAGAAAACACCTCAGTGCTTGTCCAGGGTTAGTGGTTGGGGTAGGAGATGACTGAAATGTATATCTCAGTATGTTGATTTTTTTTTAAGTGAGGCTATTTCCAAAAATTTCATTTACATGGAATAGTTCCAGGATATCCCCAATTCATGAAACAAGGTTGCTTATATTATGGTGAAATGTCTTTGGACAACAGTGTTATGTGTTACAGTTTGTTCTAGAAAACTCTTTGTAGAAAACTTGGAACATTTTACAGTTGGTTTAATAAACTCTGTTTGTTCCTTTGACGTCTCTCTAACATTGAGGTAGGGCATGACAGCCTGTGTGTGAACTGAGAAGTCTGCAGACTGGAGTTGGACGTTGGACTTTGCCATTCTTTAGCTATGGGATGTTGGACAAGCTACTGAACATCTTCAAACCTTACTTTCCTTATCTCTAAAATAGGGTTATTAATAAAGCCTTCTGCATAATTCATTGAAAAGAGTAAATTAGAATGATTATAAAGCCCTCAGAACCATGTGTGTCCTGTAATAAGCTCTCAAGAAAGGCTAGTCATTCCATTTGTATAAACTCTTCTCGGAAACCCTTGTCAACATGCCCCAAATGGATGGAATCAACACTCCATCTATTACAGCCTTGACCGCTGACATCACTGGTAACCTATTTGCTTCTCCTGCTCCACTGTGAGCTTTTCAAGATGATTAACTCTGAGTCCTTTTCATCTCTCTATTCCTGGTACCTAGCACCACAACTTTTAGTGTACACTCACCATCAGTGCAGGAACTTCATTCTTGAAGCTTAAATCATCAACATTTCTTTCAGTCTCACGCTTTTCTTCAGAATGAGCTGCAAGAGAATCCATGTCTTGTTGTGGGACCCAGGTCCAAAGCCTGTATGGACCTGAAGAATTACACAAGGGCAGCAGGAGTTACACAGAGACGAGGTAACATATTTTTACATCTCTCCTCTTCACATTAGAAACATGAAAACCAGAGTGAAGTCCCTGAGGTTACTCGGGAGAATGCCTTGGTAAACCTTCCATGGATTTTCTGCAGAGTAGGATCAAGTGAAGAATGTTTCCACACTTGAGGGAGACTTCACACATGCTAAAAGTTTGATGCATAATATTTTTGGGTTAGACCACAATGCTTCTTCCCATGGTGCCCGCTTGTCATATTCATAAACATGGACTTCATTTACTAGCTTTTGTTCTCTGCCAAACCTCATCTCATGCTTTTTCAGTAATGTTAGCTAGGTTGTCTGCACACTTGAATATTTAGGATAAGACCCTCAATCCTAATAGCCTATATTATAAGTGTTAACATTTCTGTCTATATAGTTATATCTCCTTATGCTTCTTTTATTAAGTTAATAATAATTCAATTAATGATTGTAATGATAGATACAGAATAAAATTATAAAATAATAAGTTAATAATTTTGCTTACAGCATTGCTTAACTTAAGTGTACAATTTCACACAGAAATTTTTGATAGCATGTTCCTCTCCTCACGAGTGATATTTTAACTTTGGATATTTATGGAGAAAAGGAAGGAGTTAACTGGGATACAGGATTTATGTAAAGGTCTCTCTTTCCCTCTCTTTCACTGCCAAAAGGACAAAGAAATCCCTAGGCAAATATCTGGTACTACATAGAAGTATTTGTCTCACCAAGTTGTTGCTGAAGGGCACTTTTCATACTATTAATATTATTTGAGAGACGAGCAGACACACCAAACCAAACATAATCCAAGACAAAGAAAATGGATTGATGTCAGATTTTAACCTGACTGAACCCTCTTTCGAGTATATCTAAGTGATATCTCCTCTGGCCAACAACAACATTAAATGCAAATATTTCTCTCTATTCCCTTTCCCTTTTCCACAACCCACAAATACTGTTGGCTGCAAGTAGGAGGAGAGAAGTTCGGAACTGCTTCTATTCTTTATGTAGTGCTCAATTGAGTAAGGCAGTCTTCCTGCACCATTTTAAAACTTAATTTTTGGTTGGGGTACAAGACCTTTAACAATTCAGCTCCTTTTAATATACCCGTGCTACTAAGTAATGTAGCAAAATACATTGAAAGTGATTAGCCCTTTAATACTGCACACCATCTGCTTCAAGTCCCTTTCTTTTTACAGCCCACGGTTGGAAAATGTTTCACACATCCCTACACATTGCCAGTCGATGGTCTGATTCTCCAGTTTAACTTCAAAAGGGAAAAACAGGTTCAAATCAGTATAGAACATTGATGACCTTTGAGAAAATGATTTCCCTCAGTTGGAGCTTAGATAGAGCACAGAGATGTGGCATGTGTTTGCAGTTCAACTAACCTGTCCAGTTTTGTCAGTAGTGGTAGACTTCTATCTGGCATGGTCCATCTGCCACCCCATGAGGCTGTCATAGCTAAGAAGGAGAGATTTGAAACACAAAAATCCTCTGCTAACATGAT
Source organism: Homo sapiens (assembly GCF_000001405.40). Lineage (NCBI taxonomy): Eukaryota > Metazoa > Chordata > Mammalia > Primates > Hominidae > Homo > Homo sapiens. The sequence continues at coordinate 93,869,466 of NC_000013.11, forward strand.
AGTATCAGCAATCAGTCATTTGATGTAGAACAAAGATCCAGTGATTTCTTTCCTTGGTGCTATTGTCAACTGTTACTTCTAAAATACAAATGCTTCATAAGGAGTTCACCTAAAATGGCATTGCAGTCACTTCAGAATCCATGCCTGGCCTCACATCCCTATGATTTCTTAGAAACTTAACATATTAATACATTCATGGATGTCCATGCATCTGAATATTTCAAATACAGGGCAATTTTAAATGGTGAACCAATAATTTTCCTAGCATGTTTCTTAACTGAGGGGTATTTTCTACAGACCTAGGGCTGCATTCTCTCTAAATATGTTCTTTCCAGTGAGTGGCATGGTTTTGTAATTTTTGAATACAACGGAGGAATGAAAGAGATAAGGAAATGAACACATTTTTCCTGGTATACTCCACAGCTGGTTTTAAAAGAATGTTTTTCAAAAGAGGACCACTGCAATGGAAGGAACACAGTAACCTGAGGTGGGAGATGGCAATTTTGATCTCAGCTCAGCCTCACCTGAGCCTTACTTGACTTTAGGCAAGTCACTTATATGATGTTTCTCAAGATAAAAGTGTTTGGAAGATTCAGGATTTGAATCCTTAACTGCCTCCCAAGTGAAGCACCCTGACTTTCTTAAGGTTTTGGGACACCACTTTCTTCATTATCTCTTCTTCCTTCTATTTTCACATAGCCTCAAGTTGTCTTGACTATAACCCAAAGATGATACTACCTTATTGTTACATTGTTGTAAGAATTAAATGAGATCTTGTCTGCCAAGTACTTAGCAAGTGGTGTGGCTCATAGACATGTCTTGCTACATGAAGGTGCTCATCATTCTTCTTGCTGTTATTTTTTATGAGGATGCATGCCACTATTACGAAGAAAAAGTATTACTACTATTTTTCCAACCACAATTGCCTTGTGCACTGCTGACATCAGTATATTTCCTACATAAATATGCTGGAGAATATAAATTTGGCTAGTTTTTATTATAGAATAGTCCAATTGTTTTTCTAGTTATATATTGCTGCATAACCAGGTACCCCAAAAACTTACTGTTATGGGCTGAATTGTGTAACCCCTAAATTCATATGTTGAAGCCCTAACTCTAGTATCTCAGGATGTGACTATATCTGGAGAGAGGGCCTTCAAAGAGGTAACTAAAATGGAGATGTTAGGGTTAGTCCAAATCCAATATGATTGGTATCTTTATAAGAAGAGATAAGGACACACACACACACGGAAAACTGCGTGAACCTACATGGAGAAGACGACAATCTACAAGTCAAACTGAGAGGCCTCAAAATAAAACAAGGTTTTGCCTCAAAATGAGACGGGGTTTTGCCATGTTGCCCAGGCTGGTCTTGAACTCCTGGGCTCAATTGATCCTCCTGCCTCTGCCTCCCAAATTGCTGGGATTACAGATGTGAGTCACCACACATGGCCTCTATGGTAACTTATTTGAATTTACTTTGATATTTTAAAATCTTTATTTCAGCTATTCATTTTTTTTTCCTAAGTGAAAGCAGGACAGTTAAAAATTTTTTCACCGCTACTTTGAGTTTAGGTTTTGTATGACATCACTAATCCTTTGAGCAGTGGTGCATGATGTCTCTAAAATGAGGAAGAGGCAGGGAATAACGGGAGACACAAAGTATAGCCGACAACACATGCTCTAGCATGAGACAGACTCTGTCTGCACGTTTCTGAATTCTGACTTTGTCACTTACAATTTGTCTGAACTTTGGCAAGTTATTTAAATACTCAGAGCTCCAAGTTTTTCAACTACAGAGTGGGGTGACTAACACCTGTCTCAAGAGGGTGTTGTGAGGATTAAATAAGAAATTATTTGTAAAGTTCCTAGCTTTGATCTTAGCCTATTAATTATACTCCCCTTAGCTCTTTAAGGTAATACAACACAGATCAAAATATCACAGTTCGAGTTTATTCAACTGTAATGACTTCATAGAGGATAATCAGTTGTCCTTAAAATAACCTGTTTGATCTGTGCTCATCGTCTTTTCCAAAAATATTTGCATGACACCAGACTAAACGTCGCACTGGGATTTCACAATAACACTTCACTATAGAGTAAATTTTGATGTCAGACACATTTTGTCTTTTTTCCAACGTCTCTCATGTATCAAAACAGATTGGAAGTCAGGTGTTAAAGCACATCTTCAGTGAGTTCCACTTTTTAGTCCAAGAAGAATTTACAAGTTTATAGTATTTTTCCCTTGTAGAGACTACTGGTTTTACTTATTGTAAGTCACCATTACCAGTACAAGGAAGTGAAATATCCTCTTAATTTCTGAATGAGAATCAGTTTGAGTGAAGGAAAGCAAAAGCACAAAATTATGGTGATGGAGATTCAAATGTTAGACTTTTTTTTTACTTATATACTTGAAATTTTACCCCCAGTGTATTAATGAAGATTTTGCATTTCATTTTCACTGCATTTATTTTTTGATTAATGTAGTTTCTATTTTTCTAGATAAGAGGCACAAAAGAAATAAATAAAACAAGTTTTCAGACTGATTGCTAATTTATATGAATTCATGTATTCAAATTTATGATCTTTGAATCAAATAGAAGTGCTCAATGCTGTTTTTCAAATCTCTGACATTATTTACATAAAAGCCTTTTTGAAATATCAAAAGAGATTATTTGTCACTGAGGAAATTTCAATAGTACCCTGATGCTTCCTGAAGATGTTTTGAGGTATGTGATAACAGAATGCCATTTGGAACTTAAAATTTGCCAGTAAAAAACACTTATGAACAGAAACACCCAAATGGATTTTTCATAGCTTTTTAGTATTTATCAAACTGTGATACAATGGTTAATCCAAAGATCTGTTTTTATAATTAAGAATAGCAACAGTTGTAACCTGTATTCTCATAAAGCAATGCATCCATTTCTTATAACTGCTGTAAGAAATTACTGCAAATATGGCTTAAAACAACACAGATTTATCCTATTACAGTTGTGGAAGTCAAAAGTCCAAAATGGGCCTTACTGGGCTAAAATCAAGGTGTTCTCAGTGCTGCGATTCTTCTTGGAGGCTCTAGGGAACAATCCATTCCTTGGCCCTGTCCAGCTGCTGGAGGACATCAGCAGCCCTTGGCTCGTGCCTTTTTCTCCCATCTTTGCCTCCAGCTTCCATCATTTAAGCATTCTTCTGATTACTCTGGGCCCACCCATGTGATCCCAGATAATGTCCTCATCTCAGGATCCTTAATTTTTTCACCTCTGCAAAATCCTTTTGGCCATGCAACATAACCTATTAACAGATTCCCATGACTAAGAAATATGGGGGTCTGTTATTCTGCCTACCGCAGCAGCCACTTAGAAATGATTTGTGTTTGTTTCCAGAATGTCTTCTTAATTACTTTTTAAAATACAGAAAAATTATGCCATCGAATTTCAGATTTATTTTTCAAAATCTGAAACCTAACTTTGTGCTAAAAATTCTCCACTGCTTCTCAAAACACTAAAGGCTGGCATGGATTCAACAAAAGCTACAAAATTGTAGCTTCATGTAAAACAATAATACAACAAAATGTAGAAAAAAATCCAACCATTTGCTAAACATACACCCTTTAACTACTTTTTTTTTTAGAGAAAAGGACATTTTGTGATTTTTTTTTTTAATTAATGAGGGAGGTCATATGGTCACACACTTATGTAAACAGTCACTGAACTGTTTACTGTTCACATTGCTATTTGCCACAGGATTTTCTGTTAGAAAGCTTAAACATTGGAAAATTCTGCCTAATTCTAATTTACAAAATACTGACAGTTAATGCACTACATTTTAATTCTGTTTAACATTGCCTCTTTCTTTTTAATTTTTGGTGGGAGGAGTGACTAGCAGCTCATCTCTGTTATAGTCAGAGAAACGATTTTCCTTAGACTAGAGAAGAGGTCTGTCCTGACTTTGGTATTCTGCTCTTGTTCCATACATATAGAGCAATGGTTCTCAACTGGGGAGATTTTATATTTGACAATATCTGGAAGCCTTTTTATATGTTACAACCTGAAGGGTGCTATTGGTATCATTTGGGTAGAGGCCACAGGGATGCTACAAAGCATTCTGTGCACAAGACAGCCCCTATGACAAATAATCATCTGGCCCCACCTGTCAATAGTGCACACTTGGGAGACCTTGATGCAGACCGATCTGGAGCTTGAGATGAAAAAAATCTGTCAGTATTTCACTAGCATAATGAATACAACGTATTATTATAAACCAGAGTCTATCTGAAGACTTTTCAGATTTCAACCCTTCATGAAACCAGTTCCTACCTCAATCATCCCTAATTCTAGTAAGGCCTCACTATCCATGAAGTGTTAATACAAAAGAACACAGAGGCATCCTTGAATCCTCTTTCTCTCACTGTGCACACTCTGACACGTCTGCCTTCAGAATCTATCCCCAATGTGAGCATTACCATCTCCACTGCTCCACCTTACTCTCAGCCACCATCATGTCTTGCCTGGATTCTGCAGTAGCCTCCTATCTGGTCTCCCTGCAGCCTTTCTTACACTTGGCAATGCATTGTCTGGCAGCCAGATTTTAAAAAGCTTTTATTATAGCTTCAGGGGTACATGTTCAGGTTAGCTATATAAGGTAAACTCATGTCACAGGGGCTTGTTATACAGATTATTTTATCACCAGGTACTAAGCCTAGTACCCAATAGTTATTTTTCCTGATCCTCTCCCTCCTCCCATCTGCTACCCTCAAGCAGGTTCCATCATTGTTCCTTCTTTGTGTTCATGTGTTTTATCATTTAGCTCCCACTTATAAGTGAGAACATGCACTATTTGGTTTTATGTTCCTCATTAATTTGCTAAAGACAACGGCCTCCAGCTCCATCCATGTTCCTGCAAAGGACATGACCTTGTTCTTTTTTATGGCTGCATAGCATTCCGTGGTGTATATGTACCATATTTTCTTTATGCAATCTGCCACTGATGGATGTTTAGGTTGATTCCATGTCTTTGCTACTGTGAATAGTGTAGCAGTCATGTTTTAAAGTTAGCATCAGGTCATGACACTGTATCCCAGGGCTTCTCATTGCAAATAGAAAGGGATCCACACTTCTTACCAGGGCATACCAGATCCTACCTCATGGAGCCCTACCGTAACTCTATATTCTTACCAGTCATGACCGTGTCTGTCCAACTAGATAGACTCTGATTCTGTAGGTCTCATGGACACACTAAACTTGCTCCTGACACAAGCTCTTGTCCTTGTTGTTATTCCCACCTGGAACAGTTCACATCTCCTTCTTCATATCTCCTAGTACCTGGTGTTCTCAGATCATCTCAGTGGCATCCTCTGACATGACCTTATCCTAGTTACATCTCCTCTACCATTTTATTTTCTCCTTAAAATTTGCCATTATCTAAAATCATCACATATAATTTTGTGCTTATCTTAACGTACTTCACTCCCTCTATCCTGACACACACGTCTAGGAGGGAAGAGATTTAGTTCTATGTTGCCACTGCATCTCTTGCATAATATTAGAGACTATAATAAGTTCTCAAAAGAGAGAGAGAGAATAAATGAGTTAGCTGATAAATTGATTCAATTAATAGTGTTGGGCTTTCTTCCATGCTAAGGATTCCAGAGCGCATCAGAATAAAGCAGAGTTTTCAAGTTTGGTGAAGGCCCCTCAAGTATTCAGAGATACTTGCATATGGGGCCTCAATTTCCATTTTGTTTCCCAAGACTACTCTGCAAAACTATCCTGACCTGCCATTTCTCCTTTTTCTCTTTTCAACACCTAATTCTACTTCTATTTACCCGCAAAATATGGCTTTGTTTAAGATGACTCTTCTCGGAAGGATCTCAACAGTTTTCACTTCGCTGTTGCAATTAGGTTTGATGATAACCACCACAATCTCCTTAATAACTTTTTTAAAAGAAACTTATCTTGTCTCAGTTACAAAAGCAATATATCATGTGATCAATTCAAATGATCCAGAGGTGTGTAAAATTGTAATCAATAGTCTCTACCAGCCCACCTGCTTTAATTACCATCCATACCATGCACAAAGGTAAGATGCGTCAGGTCCCTGAGGAAAGGGAATGTGTCTTTCTTGTTTGATACTGTGTTTTTGTTCTGAGAGAAGTGCCTGGTCTTTTAGTAAATATCTGTAGCATGAATGAGATAATATAGAAAGAAAGCATTTAGCTTAGTATGTGACACCTGGCAGGTGCCCAATAAATGATTCATATGGCATGGGAGAGATATTCAAGCTAATCATCTGCCTCCTGCCAGTAATGAGGCCATTTGGGGAACCCACTAGAGGAACTATCATGGAGAAAGAAACAAGCTTCAGGGAACAGAGGGCCAGTTCCTTCCCCAGACAGAGATTCCATGGCAGTACTGAATGGGTCTTGTGAGGAAGGCTGGTGTCAAAATTAATAACATCTTTCTAACAAGGCTCAGGCATTTAATTAAAATGAATTTAACAGCAAAGCTAGTCTGCAGCATTAAGGTTCCAGAGGCAAAAGCTGACCAGTAGTTGGACCCAGCCAGTGATAAGAGTCAGCATGCAAGTGCTGCTTACAGGGACCTTAGAAATCAAACAAATAGCTTGTGTCAGCTGGAATTAGTAAGAATTATACTAGACATAGGTATGATATTTGTAAGTTTCTAAAAAGCACCTATTTGCACTCTTTTTGTGCATTGCTTCATATAATAAATGCTTCATATAATAAATGCTTCATATAATAAATGAAGCATTTATTATATTGTTAATTTCTAGGGAAGCCATGATTTTGCACACAAAAAATGACTATAAACTTGATATCTGAACTTAGGGAAAAAAAAACCTAACTTTTGTCTTGAGCAACTCTAAATCAAATAATACTCTTGCTTATTTTAAATAATAAAGCTACAGATAAGAGCCTACTAAATAAACTAACATTTGAAGGTAACTTCTTTGTGATAAGCACACACGTCACTGTTCTATGACCTGGTTTCTCTGTATGAAAGACGTATGGTCTAGATTATAGAGGGCACGGAATACTTTTTGTTGCCTAAAAATGAGAGTTTCAGAATGAGTTAATACTTATTTCTCTTACCTATCTAAAAATTTCTTTTTAATATTCTTACATTGCTGTTAGAATCTGATAGTTGCCCAAAGGTAATTTTAAAACACTTCTCTCACTTTAGTCCAACCCATTTATTTCCTTTCTTGTCTTAAAAGAAAAGAGATTCTTTCTTCTAGAATTATCCAGGAAGAATTTTTTTCTTTTTTCTTTTTAAGAGATTTTTAAAAGTGAAATCTAGCAACCATTTTGCTCTTACATTAAATGCAAAATGACGGGCTCATTTAATATTGCACATGGTTTTCACAAGTTGATCCTGGGTATGTTGCACAGGCATGTAAGCCTCCGGTACTCAGGTTATACATCCCCAAACACTCACCATACGTTCCTCTTGATTGGAGATCATTTCCAACAAAGTCTAAACTGTTGGTATATTTGGACATTGCCAGAAACTCTGTAGTTAAGGTGAAGGTAACATCATCCTATCTTCAATATGACAAATTGTAGGAATGGGTATATCTTCCTGAGGGAAATATAACACTTTATAAATTTGATTCCCTAAGCAGTAGAAATATATCAGCTAAGTAAAATGGCTATGGATCGAATATGTTATTAGCACTAAAATTTAAGTATAAATTTCTGACTGACACATTTAATTAGAGGAAGAAGAATTTATTATACTACTACATATGGATACGGCCTATTTTACAGTTAACCCTTATAACATGATCTGATGAATTCCTATAACTAGTGAATTGAATCCCAAAGTAAAAGTCATGTACCTAGAACATAGGTTGTTATCCATGGGTATGTTGGGAGGCATTATTTATAAACCCACTGCAAATATTTTTAATTACCCCTTTAAAAATTTTTAGACATTTAAAAATAAACATTTTAATTAAAAAATATAACACACAACACAAATGAGGAATAATGTCACATAAATTTCAAATGTGTTCCTCTTTCCCATTCCTATTTCAAAGGTGTTGTGAATTTTACACAGATATTATATTGTCTTGTAGCTTCATAAGTTAGTGTATGATAGACTTGTCAATCCCTAAGTCTATGTTAAGGAATCCAACCCGTTAGTCTGTATAAATCAACAAATGCTTGCTTTATCAAGTTTGTCTTTAATGGTTCATAACAATCAGTATTTCAAAGATAAAGATGTATTTTATGTAATCACTAGGAGTTCTAGCTTTGTTAGAAGAGTTGTAAATTTAGAGTTTGTGATAGTGGAGATAATAAACGCCCTTTCTTTTACTTAGTCTTATGTGATAAAATCCTTTTCGTTGATTACATTGGTGGAGACAGAATAGCATGGGGTGTTGATACTCATAAATGACTATGGGAGACTTGAGGAACTGTGATAGCATTAACAAATAGAAAAGTCAGAGGGTGGAGCTGGTGTCAGAGGGAACATTGTAAATTTGGTTTGAAAAGCAGTACATTTTAAAGTTATCTGGTAGGCAGAAGAAAATGTGAGAGTTTATCTTCAGGACACTATTGATGCTGAAAAAATAAGTTGTTATTTGTCTTTTTAAAAAAGTGTTGATTGTGAGAATTTTAGGTTGAATGAGTTTACAGGGAGAGCGATGGGGAGATAGAAGAAAAGAGGAGCAGTACTATGGTTTGAATGTTTATGTTCCCTCTAAAATTAATATTGAAACTTAACCCCAAGTACAATAGTACTAAAAGGTGGGGCATTTAGGAGGTAATTAGGCCATGAGGGTTCCACCCTCATGGATGAGATTATAAAGGTTGAGGGAATGAATTCAGTCCCTGTAGGTCTTCTGCTCTTCCACCAAGTGAGGACACAGTGTTCATTCCCTCTTACCTTTCAGACTCTTTTAGACGGAGTCTCGCACTGTCATCCAGGCTGGAGTGCAGTGGCACCATCTTGGCTCACTACAACAACCACCATCTCCTGGGTCAAGTGATTCTCCTGCCTCAGCCTCCCGAGTAACTGGGATTACAGCCATGCATCACCACACCTGGCTAATTTTGTATTTTTAGTAGAGATGGGGTTTCACCATGTTGGCCAGGCTGGTCTCAAACTCCTGACCTCCAGTGATCCATGCACCTCAGCCTCCCAAAGTGCTAGGATTAAAGGCATGAGCCACCGCTCCTGGCCTACCCTTCAGACTCTTGTGCCATGTGAAGACAGAGCCTTCAAGGCATCATCTTGGAAGCAGAGACTGGGGCCCTCACCAGACACTGAACCTGCTGGTATTTTGAACTTGGACTACCCAGCCCTTAGAACTGTGAGAAATAAATTTCCATTGTTTATAAATTACCCTGTTGGCAGTATTTTGTTATATCAGCACAAATCGACCAAGAGAGGCAGGGATACAGTTTTGGGTAAAGATATATTTAGAAGAGCAAGAATTAGGAAAAGCAAAAACAGTGTTCAAAGGAGAGAAGGAAGAAACAAGAAAGCAACTGCAGAGCAGACAAGTGATAAGCGTTTCTCAAAAGTGGGAGCCAGAAGAGTAGTCAAAAAAGCAAGAAACTTCCCTTCTCACTTCATTTCATTCATTTCATCTTCCATTGCTGATACCCTTTCTTCCAGTTGATCGCATCGGCTCCTGAGGCTTCTGCATTCTTCACGTAGTTCTCGAGCCTTGGTTTTCAGCTCCATCAGCTCCTTTAAGCACTTCTCTGTATTGGTGATTTTAGTTATAAATTCTTCTAAAATTTTTTCAAAGTTTTCAACTTCTTTGCCTTTGGTTTGAAAGCTGGAGGCATCACACTACCTGACTTCAAACTATACTACAAGGCTACAGTAACCAAAACAGCATGGTACTGGTACCAAAACAGAGATATAGATCAATGGAACAGAACAGAGCCCTCAGAAATAATGCCCCATATCTACAACTATCTGATCTTTGACAAACCTGAGAAAAACAAGCAATGGGGAAAGGATTCCCTATTTAATAAATGGTGCTGGGAAAATTGGCTAGCCATATGTAGAAAGCTGAAACTGGATCCCTTCCTTACACCTTATACAAAAATCAATTCAAGATGGATTAAAGACTTAAACGTTAGACCTAAAACCATAAAAACCCTAGAAGAAAACCTAGGCATTACCATTCAGGACATAGGCATGGGCAAGGACTTCATGTCTAAAACACCAAAAGCAATGGCAACAAAAGCCAAAATTGACAAATGGGATCTAAATAAACTAAAGAGCTTCTGCACAGCAAAAGAAACTACCATCAGAGTGAACAGGTAACCTACAAAATGGGAGAAAATTTTCGCATCCTACTCATCTGAAAAAGGGCTAATATCCAGAATCTACAATGAACTCAAACAAATTTACAAGAAAAAAACAAACAACCCCATCAAAAAGTGGGCGAAGGACATGAACAGACATTTCTCAAAAGAAGACATTTATGCAGCCAAAAAACACATGAAAAAATGCTCATCATCACTGGCCATCAGAGAAATGCAAATCAAAACCACAATGAGATACCATCTCACAGCAGTTAGAATGGCAATCGTTAAAAAGTCAGGAAACAACAGGTGCTGGAGAGGATGTGGAGAAATAGGAACACCTTTACCCTGTTGGTGGGACTGTAAACTAGTTCAACCATTGTGGAAGTCAGTGTGGCGATTCCTCAGGGATCTAGAACTAGAAATACCATTTGACCCAGCCATCCCATTACTGGGTATATACCCAAAGGACTATAAATCATGCTGCTATAAAGACACATGCACACGTATGTTTATTGCGGCATTATTCACAATAGCAAAGACTTGGAACCAACTCAAATGTCCAATAATGATAGACTGGATTAAGAAAATGTGGCACATATACACCATGGAATACTATGCAGCCATAAAAAATGATGAGTTCATGTCCTTTGTGGGGACATGGATGAAATTGGAAATCATCATTCTCAGCAAACTATCGCAAGAACAAAAAACCAAACACCGCATATTCTCACTCATAGGTGGGAATTGAACATGAGATCACATGGACACAGGAAGGGGAACATCACGCTCTGGGGACTGTTGTGGGGTTGGGGGAGGAGGTAGGGATAGTATTGGGAGATATACCCAATGCTAGATGACGAGTTAATGGGTGCAGTGCACCAGCATGGCACATGTATACATATGTAACTAACCTGCACAATGTGCACATGTACCCTAAAACTTAAAGTATAATAATAAAATAAAATAAAAAATCATCGAACCATTATTGCCTCACAGTAAGGCTGACTAATAAGAGAAAAGGTGTACAAATTTATTTAACCGTGTGCATGGGGAGAATCACAGAGTGATTACCCAATTTAAAAAATAAATAAATAAAAATAAAAATAAAATAGCCTTTGCAACTAAAAAAAAAAGCAAGAAAGATAAGAATTATGTGTATTCTTCAACCATAAAAAGGAAAGAATTTCAAAAAGGAAGAGGTCAACAGTATAAAAATCCACGGCTCTCTAACCCCGTATTCTTTTCAATTCTTGGTATAACAAGCCCAGCATCCTTCCTGCTATTTTGCTGCTCTTTGCTTATTAGCCACGACCTTGAGAATCCTGGAACAATCTTTTGGATTTAATCTAATGGTGATGCAATTTCGTTTCTTACCTTGATGGTGGAAATAGAATGTGAGTAGAGCTGGTGTGGGGTGCACTGGTGAGAAGTCCTGTCTCTTTTTCCCTTTGGGTTTTCATTTCCCCAGGTTTTATTTAAGTCATTGCCAGGACCCTAGAAAGCAATTTAAATGTAATTATTTATTTGCAGTGATAGGTGTTTGCAATTAATAGTGGACAAAAGAATTGTGGTGAAAAAGACTTGCAGACGTAATGAGTAGCCTTCTTTCCCTGCTTCTTAACATATGCTATCTAGGCACATTGGTAACAAACACCTAAATTATATTGGAAGCTAATTTTCCACATTTAAATGGCATAATATAATTTAGGGCCAATGTAGGCCTAAAAACGTTAGGCTTGACATTTTTCCAAGCAGCCTTGGTTTGTTTTACTGGACAATGATTACTTGGAGTCAAGATCTGTACTCTGGGTATATTCATTGCTAATGGGGTGTCACTGCTGCTAGGCCCTCTCAGTGGACAGAGCTAGGAAATGTATGAGTGTTTAGTCACCCATGCATATGTAATACTTGCAATTATCTCTGTATCCATCCGTGTTTGTATAAACATATGGTTCAATATATATATATTAAACTAAACATGAATTCATACTGTCTGAAGCTAATCCAATATCCTAGTGTTCATTCTAGCCTCAATGCCTTGCTTATTTGTAACTTTGTAACGTTCTCTGACAGGGAGAAACCTGGCTTCCATGATCTGCCATTTATTCTCTTATTTGTTCAACCCTAGGACACATACAATGTAATTTCAGAATTGTTAACTTGTGACTCTGTAAGGAAAAAATTAACCGAGGAGAGTATGATCCTTAGGTACAGTTCTTTTGTCTTTAGCCTTATAGTTTTCAATCAAAACATGGTTTTCCCAAGTATTTTTTTTCCTTACTTTCTCCTCCCTCCCTCCTTTCTTTTCTTTTCTCTTCTTTTTTTTCTTTCTTTCTTTTCTTTCGCGGATTTTAATTTTTTATTTATATTTTTGTTTTTGTTTTATTTTTGTTTTTTGTTTGTTTGTTTTTTGACAGGGTCTCACTCTTTCGCCAAAGCTGGAGTGCAGTGGCATGATCTCAACTCACTGCAGCCTTGACCTTCCAGACTCAAGGGACCTCAGCCTCCAGAGTTGCTGGGACTACAGGCACGTGCCACTACACCCAGCTAATTTTTGAATTTTGTGTAGAGACAGGGTTTCTCCATGTTGCCCAGGCTGGTCTCAAACTCCTGGGCTCAAACGACCCACCCCTCAGGCTCCCAAAGTGCTGGGATTAAAGGAGTGAGCCACCGTGCCTGGGCAGTTTTCCAAAGTTTAAGTCACCTCCCAATCCCTTCAGATTGTTTATATCATACATTAGTAACACTGTTAGATTTGTATGTTAGACTCTGTTCTAGTCTGGAATTCCTTGGTATCCTGGTTGATTTTTTTTTAATTTGTATACATTAGAGATCATTTTGTGTGATGTAAAGTTCTATGGGTTTTGACAAATGCTTAGAGTTATGTAAATACCACCCCAGTTTCAAATAGAACATTTTTTAAAAGATCTGTATCTGAAATTTATATAAAGAGATTTAGATTGTAAAAAATATGAAATAGAAATGAAAGCCCTGTTCTGTCTTAAACCAAACTCAGTGTTTGGCTAAACTGGCATGTAAACCAGTTCTTTCTGACACCTGCAGTGAATTACCATAAACCTCATGGAGGAGGTAGCCTTGAACAGACTCACTGAGAGTGGAACTTTAGTCTGTAATTTTTATTTTCAGTCATCTGTCGCAAGATAGGCAAACTTCTAAGAAACGTCCCTTGTATTATTACGTCAATCTTACCAGAGGTTTTTAATTTTTTTCCAGGGCCTTGAATCTCTCGTATTTTCTTTTTTTCTCCTGCTTCCTTAAATAAAATCCAAATTCCCCAGAGAATTTTGTAAAATTCCCAATCTTACTGCAGCTTCCTCTTCTGTCTTTCTGGTCCTCTCTGTTCAATATGCACTGCTCAGTTTCCAGACCTGACAACTTTTTGTCTGGTAGCAAAAATAATGCATGATCAATAGTAAAATTGTAGAAAGAGTGGATCAAGGAAACCAGGCACCCAGAGATAAATGGCTGGATGTCTAGAAGGAAGCTTGCTGGATCAAAGGGTATCCAAGTTTTCACAGCCTTTACATCACCAAATTGCCCTGCAGAATGGCTCTATTAATTTGCACTCTGCCAACATAGTTAATGGGCTGTAGTGTAATTGTCCATATACCAGCAGTGTAGAAGTATTCCTTTTTTACTGCATCCATGCCAACATCTATTTTTTTTATTTTTGATAATGGCCATTCTTGATAATATTTGCCATAATTCAGTATTGTCAAGACTAAGGTGGTATCACACTGTAGTTTTAATTTGCATTTCTCTAATCATTAGTGATGTTGAGCATTTTTTCATATGCTTGTTGGCCATTTGTGTATCTTCTTTTGAGAATTGTCTATTCATGTCCTTAGCCCACTTTTTGAGGAGATTCTTTGTTTTTTTCTTTAACTATTTCTTAACCATTTTAATCCTTCATGTCATTTTGTCCCTCTTCTAATTTTGACCCAACTATGGTTTTGCCAAATACTTTTTGACTGCCAGGTGACTGTGGCTTAGATTCATTGTTTTGTAAATAATATAACTTGGCTCTCTATGAATAACTGAATATCTAAATTCATTACGCATCAATTATTTATTAATTCAAAATATATTTACTAAGCACAGTGTAAAACAAAAACAATCCATCTTTTCAATGTTATTGATGAACACATAAAATATATGTAAACATTGATAAAGCATAGGCTAAACTTAAATTGTTACATATAAAATCTGTAACAAAAGACACCGAAGTTTTTTGTCAGCTTGAAGTATTTGTCCACAGCTATGTATTCGACATATGGCACATACTCAATAAATGTTTTTCATGTAAGAAAAGGTGCAGCTAAATTACTCATGTAGTTATGAGCATCATTCCCAGTAGGGATCGTTAGAAAAATGTTTGAAATGGAAATGACATCTCAACTGGACCTTGACACATGAAATCATTCTAAGGCGAACTGTTTCCTCTTTTCCCCATAGAATTTTATTTTTAATCTCTATCATGGCCGTTGTCTTACTATATTTTAGCTTATCTCTTCATATGCCTATCGTTTCTGTAGAATATGTAGAATGCAAGTTTATCAATTGTTGTTCATCTTATTAAATCTTTGTATCCTTACCATAATGCATTCCTTCAAATCATAGATATTTGTTCTAGTCATGTTTAAGTAAGCTATTATGGATTTTTTTTATCTTTATAAACTCTCGTTCTTCACAAAAAAAGCATTGCAATATTTACATCATAACTTTACTGAAGATTTTGCATTCAAAGTAGATCCATTCCTTGAGGATTTTTAGAGATTTATTTATTTTTGTCCCAGAAACAAAACTATAATCTTACATAATATTTTTCAGTGATTGTCTTAGTAACATGCTCTCAAAATTTTCACCCTGAAGGAAGTTACTGAAATATCATTTACAAATATAGCTGGATTTTGGAAGATATTTATTTTAAACGTCCCTCCATACATACCCATGCATTTATGGTACTTCAGTGTTCAATGCTAAATTAACTTGAACAACACTTTCCATAGGGTTATCTAAAGCAACCTTCAAAAACGGCTGCATTTTGTATGTTAGACTTAAAAGAAAGATGTGAAACGTTACAAGAGCTTATGTGTGTGTTATCTTTTAGTGAAAAATTCTAGAATATTTTGCTGCTTTCCATACCTTATCACTCATGCATATATTCTATGATCTTACTTCACTTGTTTGGGGCTTCAAAGAATTTAGAGGTGGGAAAGGGAAGTGGGTTAATGAATGCCTATTCTATCAGGCTAAATGTTAGATGCTGGGTGGGCATTGAGAGATTAAAAAGTCCTTGAAGAGTATATACCCTAATGAGGAAAATAGATAGATAAACAGACAATTACACTACAGCCCATTAACTATGTTGGCAGAGTGCAAATTAATAGAGCCATTCTGCAGGGCAATTTGGTGATGTAAAGGCTGTGAAAACTTGGATACCCTTTGATCCAGCAAGCTTCCTTCTAGACATCCAGCCATTTATCTCTGGGTGCCTGGTTTCCTTGATCCACTCTTTCTACAATTTTACTATTGATCATGCATTATTTTTGCTACCAGACAAAAAGTTGTCAGGTCTGGAAACTGAGCAGTGCATATTGAACAGAGAGGACCAGAAAGACAGAAGAGGAAGCTGCAGTAAGATTGGGAATTTTACAAAATTCTCTGGGGAATTTGGATTTTATTTAAGGAAGCAGGAGAAAAAAAGAAAATACGAGAGATTCAAGGCCCTGGAAAAAAATTAAAAACCACTGGTAAGATTGACATAATAATACAAGGGACGTTTCTTAGAAGTTTGCCTATCTTGCGACAGATGACTGAAAATAAAAATTACAGGCTAAAGTTCCACTCTCAGTGAGTCTGTTCAAGGCTACCTCCTCCATGAGGTTTATGGTAATTCACTGTAGGTGTCAGAAAGAACTGGTTTACATGCCAATTTAGCCAAACACTGAGTTTGGTTTAAGACAGAACAGGGCTTTCATTTCTATTTCATATTTTTTACAATCTAAATCTCTTTATATAAATTTCAGATACAGATCTTTTAACAGTAAGTAAAATAGAGGAAACCAAACCAAAACAAAACAAAATGTGACCCACATAATGTGCTTGAAGAGAGATGAGATTTATGCCGGTGATGCAGGTGGTTGGTATATTCAGTAAATTTGCTTTTAGTCGTGAGAAAATGTAGAGAAGGCACTGTGTTTTATTTCATTTAGGAGAACATATAGAAGGCTCTGCACAGTTATTTTAATTTGAATGTTATTGAAATAGTTCTGTGTGCATCTCACAAAATGAATAAAATATTGAATTTAAGTATAAAAATTATGGCTATGCCAAAGTTTTGGGGTTTTAAATTGGCAAAAGTATTCACAACTGTCATTATCAACACATTTTATTATGAAAGTTTCTCTGGATTTTAGAATATGGTCTTGTTTTGGACTTTAAAATGTGTGGTTGGAATAATTGGAAGACTAGAATGGCAAGATTACATTGTTGAAAAGGCCCAAAAAATCCAAGCTAGGATACTAGGAACTTAGAAAGAGCTTTAAAAATCAGTGGTGGTATGTGTAGGATTGCCACAATTTGGTTATTCTTGGAGAAAAGATGCTGAGTGGCTGTCCCCAGTGCAGATTCTAATGGCTGTTTCCCACTGTGTTAAGTCTTGCAGCATAAAAGCCATTTGGAGGTATCAGGCTTAAGGTAAAAAACGAAAAAAAAAATTATTCTGATCTTGAAAATTTTGGCTATATTGAAGCTTTATGTAGTCTCTGTCCTTTTACCTCTTGTTCTGAATGATGGCTAGCAAAACAAGGGTAAGGTACACTACCCATTCATATTGAAACTGACCTGTCCTTCATTGCATAATGTCTATGTGACTTTCGGCCTCTTTTAACATTGATGGACAGGCATACAATGACGTTTGTAGATAGTTTGATGTCCATACATTGCCATTTTGAGCATCTGTCATTTTTTTTTTGTTTTTTTTTTTTTCATATTTTTAATCCCAAAACGATATTGCTAATAAAGTTTGGAATAGTGTACGTTTGATTCTCAAACTTCAATTTTAGTCAGTCCATTCTGTTAACTGAGAAGAAGAAATTCTATGATTGATTTTAATTTTTTTTGTTTTGTTTTATGTGGAATACATGCGTCTAACTGGACCTACTATGTAAATATACACATGGTACATGCATTATTCACTTTTTTTGTTTAACTCAATGATAATAAGAATGTATGTTTCCAAAGTGGAAGAGTCCAAATGTTTAGACACTGGATTATCTGTTTAGAATTCAGAAACCACAGAAAATAGATTCTAAACATATGCAGTCATATTTTAAAATATGATGAACACAACAAAGATACATGCATAATCTGAAATTTATTTAGTTTCAAAAAGTCATTTGAGTCATTAAATGTAATAATATTTTTATTTTTAACATAGCAATAAAATGAGAAGAGGAGACTACCAAAGTAAAAGGGAACAATAATGACTGAAATTTAGCTTGAATAAATATAGTCAAGAGTGATCTCAAACATGACAATTGATTGTCATGTAGCTTTGGAACTTAAGTATATATCTAAAAAGTAATTTTAATACTTATTAATCAAATTGTTATTTAATTAATAGGAAATTAGAAAATCGAAGACTGAAAGTTACTGAACACAGAGATAACACCCACTAGAATTATTCATGACTGAATTTGAGATGATTCTGTCTTACGTGTTATATGGTATTTGCATTGGAACGTCTCACTAATACTAATACCTCTTATCAGTGCAGATAGCTGCATTGACCTTAGAAGTAAAGAGATAATTTGGGGGAAATTATAGTAACACTTCAGTGATCCCTCTAAATACATCTTTCACTGTAACAAAAGAGCCTCTGTGGGGAATTAGTGACTTCGTGCCATGATTTCTGAATCGTGATACAACCTTATTGAATTTATGAAGGATGAGGTCAGAAAGCCAGACATCACTTCTAGGCTTAATAATCAGTTTGGATTTCTCATTGTGTAGAAGTAAACAAAAATGTAGTTGATTCCAGAGGTAGCAAAATTTTATATCTACAACTAAAAATATAATGGACCCATAAATGAACATAATTAGATCTGACCACCAAATGGCATCAGGACATTCTGACTACGGGTTGTGGCTTATGGCCAGCAGTCCATCTGGGGACCAGTCCATCTGGGGTCCACTCCATAGCATAAGTCACATGACCTGTGTAAAGCAGCTGACAGAAAAACAAAACCAAGAATGCCTTGAAACATCTTATATTTTATGAATGAATACTAGGAAGTCCTTTTTGTTTTTCTGTTCTTTGGTTTTAGGTATTTCAAAATCTGTTAAACAGGTGAGGCTGACTAGGGAAGCCAACAAATATAGCTTGTGATTTTGGACAGTTGTGTTTCCAAGTTGAGGGCACTTTTTTGATCAACTTCCAATCATTTATAAAGCAAAAGATAGTATCCAATTAGCGCAAATTTATGAAGTTTGTTTTATGTTACATGGGGATATCATAAAGAAGCATGTTTTTCATTACTGCTGAATACAGCCTGTAAGATATGCATAGCCTGATGGTCATCGTTCATTCCTACAGATATGATGCCTCTTGGCATATCTCTTAGGTGAAAGAGTTTCCCTTCTGGTAATGTCCTAGGGAAAAAGGTCACTTGTGTCCAGGAGATTAAAACCAATATTAACTTCTACAATATGTAGAGGACAGGTTAGTCTTGGAAAACACTTTTTAATTATCTGATCATGTGGCTAGAATATGTAGGCTGATAATTAGACTACCTTGCTATCTGAACACCAGAAATCTCCCCTGAGCCCAGGCTGAGATACAGTACTTTCTTCTCTTAGATGCTTTTGGTTATAAGTTTTTTCCTGAAGTTGACAGGAACATGAAAACTACACAACATTTAATTTTTCCTTGAAGAAGTGCTTATATTTTCAGAACACATAGTCCCTAATTAGAGTAAATTACTCCTGATGGAATAAGCATTCTGCAAAAGCAGGAAAGAAACCAAATTTAATTTCCCAGTGCCATAGGGAGGTCTTGACTATTCAAAAACTGTCTCTAAATCTTAGGAACTATGCTTTCAAGGGCTAAACTAATAGAACTGAGCAGGAAATAAGCCTGATTAGCATTTTGTAAGTAATTTTGAGCACAAAAGATATATTTACAATAATAGCCAAGACTTATCATCTGCAATTGAACCCAAACACTAGCAAAAAGAAAAAAGTAAACTGAAACCATTAAAATGACATCAAATAAATTATGATATTCATTTTCTTGTATACTTCTTATCACTTTTTAATTTTAAAATATATGGTTGATATGTCTAGATCCTAATAAGGGGAATGGGTTAGCATTGATGTGGGTGGCTTATGAAACATTTATATACTCACTGCTCACTTGTTCTTAATTCATAATGCAGCTTTCTCAAGGCCCTCACTTTAATACAGCCTGTCAGTTGCTGCTATCTATAATCAGGAGGCCTGGAGGTATATATAGTTTTTTTCCCCAAACGATTTTAATGTATAACCTCTGGCTTATAACGCATTATTTTGCATCCTTCCACTTGGCAAAGTGTGTTAGAAGTGATTCTGAATGTGGTTGGAAACACGTTTATAGTACTCAGCAAATGCAATCTAATAACCATATTATTCACCAGTTTTGGAAAGGAAACAAGTATTTTATGGAGCTATGGTTATCATCAAAGGAAGAAAAAACCCTTTTTAATAGAATTTTAATATGGGTTTTCCCCCATTTATAGCATGTACTAGGTATCACTAAGATTACACTGTTACAGGTGTCTGTGGTACTTTGTAATGAAGCTGAATTTGTCAAAGAGAATAAGACTTTCATTTTCCATTGAGCACCTGTTTTCATCTTGAATTTTCAGAAGCAGTCAGCGAAAAGTCAAAGGTTTCTTTTTATTCTGGCCCCATGGGGAAAGATTTGCCATTTGATCAGCACAGTCTGCTTTTCTGTCTCTACTTGGAGTTTGCTATGGCCATATGGAGTCACTCCTCTGAACACTGATCTCTGCCTCTTGCTTTTATCTAAGGGTGATATGCAAAGGTGTATTTCTACCAACAAACCACACATTTCACTGTTTTGAAGGAACCAGTAATGCAGTGACATTCATAAAGATACATACCATTCTATAGAATCATTAAATCAAAAAAAAATTCTACGCAGGAAAAAAAAATAGATGGCTTTTGCAGAGAAACCAAAGCATGCAGAAATCAAGATGGTTACAGTAAAACCAGTTATCACTTCAGTGCCCAAAGTGTTTTCACATATGCTAGCTGTCTGTCTGACAGAATTAGGAATCTGAAGATTCCAGAGGCTGTGTCCCAAATATTTGCTGTGGTTCCTGATGGTTTCTATGCCAACAGTAGATTATTGTATTGCGCTGGAACTAATCTCTTTCTTCTCCAAACCACTAGGATGCTTTACACATCTTCTTTGTGGTACTTAACACTGTAGGTTTACCTTAGGTAATTTCTTGTAGCCATGCACAGGTTCCTTATCTTAATAGTCTATCACAGAGGAAATAAGACAGAGTAGCTCTCTTGAGGGACTTCTGCATGCCTTTATATACCTTCAATTACTTGTTTACTGTAATCAATAAGTATTTGTCGATGGATGGGTGACTGGGTTTATGGATTCAGTTTTGAGTCAAAAACATATGCATAGGTTGTTACATCGAGTGCCTTTTGTTGTTATCGAAAGGGGCACCATCATGGGATAGTTTTTAGATGAAAATTTGGAATGGGGGTTAGGACATTTTACTTTGCTCTTTAAGTTCATCTGTGTGTATGATTTCTATGCATGATATACATCAGTAATTTGTACCAGACTGCTTGAATAGCAAGCATATTACAAATGTGAATGTAGTTTTCTGTTATAAATTTTACTTAATTTTTTTTTTTTTTTTTGCTTAGAAAGTTATATTTTTCTGGGAGAAAAACTTCTCATTCCTTTCCTCTGCTACATAATTCCCCATGCCTTCTAGATTTTTTTCCAGTGCTAATAATGGAGACTCAATTTCTTGAGTGCTAAGATATATTTGCCATAGTTTATTATATAACCAGAAAAAATAAAATAATGTAGAAAGCTTAAATTATTAATGGGGCATTTGTTTTCTGTTAATCAAATTTATCTCATTTAACCCTGTAACACTAGCGAGACATGTCAAAAGATATAAAGAGGAGAAACAACTAAAATATGAACCTATCAGTGGAAATACAAAGGTATAATTTTTAAAAAGCTTTAAAACATAAAAATGATATTAACAACTTTTTAAAAAAATGCATGCCCAAGTGGCTATTTGACAAGTATACTACACTTTCAGTCTACCCTATTACTTTAATGTTCACAGTGTATACTGCTATGTTTATTTTATTTTTCAAAGTATACCTAAAAAAGACATCAGAAAAAAGCAAATTATGCTGATGTTATTATGTTTAGTAGTGTTTTATGCTGTGAGTCAACTGCCAGCAAAGATTTTTCTCATTTTATTTCAAACGTAGGTGAGGTTGCTTTGTTTGGCTTTCATTCTGTGTATCTCTATTAACATCTGAACCTCAGGAGAAATTACCTTTAAATTGGCTGTTAGACCTTGGCCATGCAATATGCTGACTCTCCTTCTTCATAGCCCTTCATCCATCAGAGAAAGATTTGCTCAATCAAGTCCCCTCTGCAGAAACACAGCTCTGGTCACCAGCTGTTTGAGGCAATACATTGAAACAGTTGAAAGACTCTAAGAATTTGGTCTTTATACAATTTATTTAAAATCAATTGCTTCTTGAAAACATATACACTTTGTTCATTAACCATTTATATACACACACACTATGTACACACACACATTCTATACACACTATATATACACATTTACAATGTGTATAGTGTATGTGTGCATACAGTGTGTGTGTGTATGTATACATACACATGTATATATAAATGGTCAATGAACAAAGTGTGTATGTTTTCAAGTATAGAGATGGCTTAGTATATCTGTCATACACATACTATATGTGTGTGTGTGTATATGTAGTGTGTATGTGTATATATAGTGTGTGTGTATATTGTGTGTATAGTGTGTGTATGGGTGTATGTATAGAGTGTGAGTATATAGTGTATGCATGTGTGTATATATATAAAAATTGTCAATTAACAAAGTGTATTGTATATGTTTTTAAGAAGTATAGAGATGGCTTAGTATATCTGTCATATACACGTGCACACACACTATACATACACACTATATATACACATGTACACACTACACATACACACATATATGGTGTGTATGTATAGTGTATGTGTATGTATATGCACATATATAGTGTGTGTATGTATATTGTGTGTGTGGGACAGATATACTAAGCCATCCCTATAATTTGAAGAAGCATATCTGTAAGTCACACTCATATTTGGTCTAGAGTGAACATGGATATGGGAAGCCCCAACGAAAGCATTCCAAAAATATTTACAGTGAAAGTTCCTACCTAACGGGTAGCAAAGAAAATGACAGCGCTTTGAAAATCAGACTGCTATGTTCTTACATACCCTTTTATGACTTTTCTAAATACTATTCAGTGAGCTCATATGGATTTAATAATCAGGAAAGAAGTAGATATTTTGTCAATATGGATCTGAAATGGGACACTGCCCACATGTGATCTCTGTGATTCTGTAAATGCTTGTTTGACTATTTTAAATTTATTTTGCCACTTAGTTATACAAATTATTAATTAGCAGTAAAACACACAAAAAGACACCCATAATTGCAATCAATATTTTTTTGCATAACATAACATACTCTTTTATATATACATAACCATTATGTAATCACATGACATAGGTATAGATATAGATGCCAAGAGACACACAGATAAATACAAAAGAATTCACTCTTCTGTAATCTGCTTTCTTCACTCAACAACATATCATTAACCTCTTTCCATTTCTATAAATCAGAATCTAGAATGAATGATGGCTCTGAAAATCTGCAGTGTTTCACTAAGGAGATGTGTTCTTCATAAGCCACTCAGCCTCCCCAGCACTCTCATAATCATGTGCAAACATGTGTGAACATATTTATGATTGTTTAGGGAAAATTTCTAAATATAAATTTGGAAATGCAAAGTATAAATATCAAAAATATGTGCTGTTAAAAAGCATTTAATGCATATTGTCGTGTTGTCCTTCAGCAACAGGTAAGAAATACCCAAATTTTTGCCAGTAATAACCATTAAATTTTTTTTTTTTTTTTTGAGATGGAGTTTTTCTCTCATCGCCCAGGCTGGAGTGCAATGGCACAATCTCTGCTCACTGCAACCTCCACCTCCCAGGCTCAAGCAATTCTCCTGCCTCAGCCTTCCGAATAGCTGGGATCACAGGTGCCTGCCACCACGCGTGGCTAATTTTTGTATTTTAGTAGAGACAGTGTTTCACCATGTTGGCCAGGCTGCCCTCAAACTCCTGACCTCAGGTGATCCGCCTCGGCCTCCCAAGGTGATAGGATTTATAGGCATGATCCACCGCTCCCGGCCATTAAAATCTTTTGATTTTTGACAGTTTATCAAAAAAGTAGCCTGATTTAATTTACTTTTTAAAAAATCACCAGCGATGCAGAAATATCTAAAACAATCTATTAATGCCTCTTTCAGTTGTAATAGAAAATTAAAGGAATACAGGCCTGGGATTACAGACATGAGCCACGTGCCAGCCAACAAGGATGTTATTTAACCCTCTTGTGTTCAAGTTGTCCAATCAGCATTAAATTCACCTAATATTACTGTTATTCAGCTAATGTTTCTTCCACTCACCCACAAGGATTTCCTGATACACATTATCAAATGCCATGTTGAAGTCAGTTTCAGGTGGAAAAAGGATTCAACACAAAAATCAGAAGATCTGAGCTTTCCTCTCTCTTCCACTGTCACTGGCTGTTTAATTTCCCTATTGAGATTCGGTTGTCATCTCTAAAATATCAGACTTCTCTTAATTAATTTTTTTCATCTTTCAATTTTAGCAGTAGAACACTTCAATCTATTTTCCAAAGCCCGTGATAACACTCTTCCACAAAAAACAGTTTTCAATAACCATTATCCAAGGCCTCTCACCTTTTCCTCAATTAAGAACACCGGTCCACATGCAGCTCATGTAAATATCAGATGCTTTAGACAGGAAGACAAACTCCATGATGGCACTTACTTGGTGCCCTAGACAGAAAGGGAAGTGCAACACATACCCTGTGGTCACTATGATGATACTACCTCTTTAGTAATAAATTGATTAATTTTTTTTGTTTCTTCTGGAAAACTAAATTATTGCTGCATATGTTTTTCCCCAGATTTCTGGATTTGGGGTGCCCTTTAGGAATTCCTGCCTGGTCTTAACTCTAACATGCTGCTTAGTCCCAGGACATAAATTTCAATTCTGTGAATATTACAATCTGTAGTTACTTCAGCCTGTGAAATAATTTTAAAAGAGAAGTTCTACACTTGTTTTTACTATTGGCTTTGTCATGGGATTAAGGTGTATATGGCCTTCCAAGGTGATGGTTTATACAGGGCATTTATTTTGCTGAATTATTAACCTATTATTTTGTAAGCTATTTATAGTTGAAGTTCATACATCTCATTATGTTCATCAGACTACTTATTTTCCACATATGCATTGCAAACCAAAAAAAAATAAGCATGTAAGAAAAATAAATGTATGCTATGTATTTATGGATAGCTGAGTGACACAATTTCAATCACAATTGGAGTAACATTGTTCCATGCTTTATTTAATATTTACTCATAGCTCCAAGTTTGTTTGGCCATTGACTCTTATTCAGAGAAGATTGTCGGTTGTGGTTTCCCCCAGCCTGAGCACCTTAACTAACAGATTTGTAGCTGTTAATCAAATTCATTGCAGTTTCATAGGTTGGGAAAGGAAAATGGCCATCAAAGGTCACCAATTTATATTAATGCAATAGGATTTGGGAATACACATAAAAATTCAAATTGAGCCTCTGTGTTTTTTTTAACAACTAGTATGTAAAATGATGTGTTATCTTGGTTTTCCATTTGAACTCCCACTTTTGATTTATGATAATATTATTCTGAAATACGTATTTCTCAACCATTTTTTAGTAACATTTTAAAGTTACTGAATGCATATAGAGTGGTTTATAACTTTCTTAATGTTGAGAGAAAGCCACTTTCTCTTTTAAGACGTATCCTCCCACACCAACGTCTTACAGCAAATATATATATTTTCACCTCTAAGTCCATATATGTCTATATATATATTTTCACCTCTAAGTCCATATATGTCTATATATATATTTTCACCTCTAAGTCCATATATGTCTATATATATTTTTTCACCTCTAAGTCCATATATATGTGTGTGTGTGTGTATGTATGTGTGTGTGTGTATATATATATATATATATATATATATATATATATATATATATGTAACTGTTCACACAAGAATTTATAGTATGAACCCTGCATGAATTTGAGTCTGTGCTGGGCAATCATCTGTCAGGATTTATGAGGTAAATAAGTTACAGAAATAGAGGCACATTACAAACATAATGATTCCTCTAGGAGTCACTTCATTCTGGCTATCAATGTGGTTAGACTAAATAACTCTTTAAATTAAATGGAAGCCTTGCTTGGGAATTGATTCAAGTAAAAAGAAGCAACAGAAAATTCATTTTTAGTATTTTTCTTCCTTTGGTATTTCTTCACACCCCATCTCACCATCATCTATTTTAAGGCAAGTGCATTTATGTAAACCTCAATATTTTCCAGTGTTGTTTATATCAGACAATATCTTGTTTTTGTTATTTTAATGAAACTGCATTATGAATCAGAACATGACATGCCACTTAATGTTATGGAAAAGTAACCTGCTATTACTGTTCTGCAAGAAATAATTCTCTGTTACAACATAACCACCCACAGGTATGATCTGATGGATGGATTCAGGTTTGATTTTTGTGCCCAAACTTTTAAAATCTTACCAGAATCTTTAAGAGATACAGAGTAGAATGATGGTTACCAGAGGGTGGGAAGAGCAGTGGAGATGGGGGAATACAGCGGGGTTGGTTTAAGGGTACAAAAGTCCAGTTAGATAGAACAGAATGAACACAATCTAGTGTTTGGTAGCTTAATAGGGTGACTATAATTAACAATAACTTAGTGTATATTTAAAAATAACTACAGGCATAGAATTGGAACATTCCTAACACAAAGAAATGATAAATGCTTGAGGTGATAGCTACCCTAATTGCCCTGATGTGATCATTACACATTGTATGCTTGTATCAAAACATCACATGTACCCCGATAAATACGTACAGCTATTATGTGGCCATAAAAATTAACTATGATATGCTTTAAGACAGCTTTCAGGGAAGGAAATATTTCCCATTAAACTTATGAAACACATTTTCCCCTCAATAGACATGGATAAATATTCTACAGTAGAAAAAAAATGTTTAAGCCGTACAGACGTTTTTTCACCTCTAAGTCCTTATAGAAATAATCCCCATATAAGTAGAGTTTTAAGTAAAACATAAGACACCACATTTTTAACCTCCAAAATTCTTTTAGATTCAGACCATTTCTGGCTAGTTTGTAAAATCAGATGACTCGTATAAACTTCAGCAAGCAAGAAGGGAAAAATGATAGTCTCTCAAACTTTCAAAAAATTGTTTTTTGTCCAGAAATGGATAAAAGATGTGTAGCAGAAAATGTAGTTTAATACGTAAATGTTATATTTCAGAAGCAGGATAACGATTACCTATACACAAAATTATCATTTAAGTTGAATTTTAAATAAGGCAGACAGACTAATGTATTAATATTTTCTCTTTTAAACTTTTGAGTTGATTTTGAAAGAAACAAAATATATGTTTCCTGTTAGCCTCTTACTCTCGCATCAGGTTCATTTCATGTGACTATCACCTGGCTTAGCCATCTTTTTAAATCAACAGAAAAACTGAGAATTTTCCGTGAATCCTGGAAACACCAAGAGAAACAAAATAAAAATAGAGAGATGTAAAACACCTGTGGGCGTCTGCATCTACCTTGAACTTTTATTTATAGCTCATAATCAACTATTGAGACCTCAGAGTGAGGCTGGATAGAATGTGGGTTTAAACCTCATTATTCTTTTTTTTTTTTTTTAACATTTTCTTATTGTAAAGGATTATTTTCTCAAGTATTAGCTATGTGTGTGTGTATTTTCAGCCAAATTATGTTTTTTTATTTTAAAAAAAGCATACATAGGAGCTTAAAAAATAAAGTGGACCTCATGAAGTCAGAGAGATTGGTGGTTACCAGAGGCCGTGAAATGTGGCAGGGAGGAGAGTGATGAAGAAAGGTTGATTAATGGATACAAATAAACAGTTAAATAGAAGAAGGAAGACCTGGTACCCAATAGATCAGTAAGGTGGCTATAGTTAGTATTCACTGACTATACATTTCAAAATAGTTAGGAGAGAATAATTCAAATGTGTGTGTCAAATTTTTTTTAATCAGAAAGAGAAGATAAGCGTCTAAGGTGTTGGAGAGTCCAGTTACCCTGATTTGATTATGTGAATGTATCAAATTATCACATGTACCACAAAATGTGTGTACCAATAATAAAGAAAAATCAAATGAAACAATTCAACATCTTTAAAAAGCACACAAAAATTTAAAATGTAACTACAGCATATACCAATTAATAAATGACTTAAAAAACTAGCCTCTTCAGATTCACCATATAATTTTACATATATCTTTCACTTAAATATTGAAAGCATACATCCATGTGCCCCAGATATATGACATACCTTCTTAAATGGTGGCACATTCAGCATAGGCCCCTTCAACATTGAAAACAATCTGCTATGAGACACTAGTCTTCTGTCCCCCCCATCTGTTAAAAATCACCCACCAGGAGTGAATGACTTAACTGTCAGATGACTATATGTGGTACATAAGTGATATCCTCAAAAAGTGCCTAATAGGCTACCTTGTAAAAAATTCACTCATTCTCTTTTTAATGTATTTATTAGTTCACATATTTCACTACACTTTCCCAATTCCCTATATCTATCCTCGCTTTGCTTTCAGTCATATCATCTAAAACTTTAGTATATTTTTCACAAAAATGTGAGGAATACAAGAAGCATAAACAGCAAGATGGCAGCTGGGGGAGGTTTTTCTACCATCAGAAAATATTGTTTATTAATTTACTGTAATTTAAAACATACAGTTGAGCCATCAGACTGTCTTTCTTGACCTCTACAATTGAAGCAATTATGTGAATATTTGGAGATTAGTGACTGGCTTATTGGATCATATGGTCATATTAATGGTCCTAATAACGATCCAAGTTTGAGTTCAGAGTGTCCATTTATTCATTCGGCCATCACTGGCCTTATTGGTCACCGTATTGACACCATAATGGTGCAATAAATACGGCATTGAGGAAAGAAACACAGT
Organism: Homo sapiens; assembly: GCF_000001405.40. Taxonomy (NCBI): domain Eukaryota; kingdom Metazoa; phylum Chordata; class Mammalia; order Primates; family Hominidae; genus Homo; species Homo sapiens. Next base: position 93,898,306 of record NC_000013.11, read on the forward strand.
TCCTGCCTCTGTGGGCTCACATTCTAGAATAAATAGACATAAGCAAATAATGATGAATGTAATCATTTTCAGACAGGAAAATGCCATGCCATAGGGAAGTATATAAGAGTCAGGAAGCCACAGTTGCCTTGGTGATGTTTACTTGAAGGCCACATGGATGAAACTGTGCATGAAGCCTATTGTTGTTTAAAGCATGAAATGGAATCTAGTCCTGTACCTAAGCAGATTAATCAGCGGACTGTAACATTTGATTTAGGAGACTCTGAAGCCAGCAGCATATCAAACCAATTTCCAAAGCTTATATAATTTTTCCAAGTAACCATATTGTGTTTGTTTTTTTGTTGTTAAGGCAGTTAAATCTCTTGTCTAAATATTATCAGAGGGACATTTTCCTCAGCTAAAAACCAATGAAATTGAATAAGTTGTGAAGAAATATGGCCAAGTTTTATGTAAGAAAGAGTGGGATTAGGCAGGACAGATGTCACAGAGCACAGCTTAGGAAGGGCAAGCCCAGGTGAGCCCCAGGAAGAGCAAAGCAAGCATTGCTTGGAGTGAAAGAAGTTTCTGCAGTGAACACTACACTTTAACATTTCTGGACACAGCAGATTTGGGATATATAAAAATATTATATATAAATATATATATATATATATATATATATACACACACATATATATACATACATCCCAGATATATAGCTTTGCTTTTAATCTCCAATACCCATCTTCTAGTTTATCAACACCAGTGTTTCCCAGACGTAAAAATGTGCTTTAATGACTTATGTGCTTTCATGACTTCTGGGCAACCACTCAGATTTATTCCTTCACTGTCAGTTATTCGGCCATTTAATCATTCTTTCTTTCATTCAACACATAATCTTGACCATTAAATATTCACTGTGTTTAGTGCTGTGCAAAAAGCACTTCATAGGATCCCTAACGTGGAGCTTGCCTACTGGTAGACAAATAAGATATGTTTGACAAGGGAGTTAAGTAATTGTATAGGTCAGTTAAAAAAGATTAACTCAGATTTAGTGGCTAAGATCAGCGTAAGTTGGAGTGGTCAAAAACAAAAGTGGAACCAGAGTGAAACTTAAGCAGAGTCTTGAAGGATGGGTAAGAAGACATAGTTGGATGAAGGAAAAAAAAAAAAAGAGGAAATTCCATGGGGGGAGAGACATTTGCAGTGAAACTTGAGTCTGGTATAGCCAGGAAGCAGGGACATCAGCAATATGGTATATATTACCTGGAATATGTTAGATGTTTAATGAAAGAATGAATCAATGCATATACATACACAGGAACTGGAAGGAAATTTGGAAAGGGAAATGGTTGGCAGTACAATTTTAATGAAGAAGCACTCGTAAACGACATGATTGACAGAGAGCTATACCATAATAAAAAGGCCTGAAGAGGTTATTTCGCATTTGATCCAAAACAACCAGTTTTCATCTGCCATCAATTTTACTTGTGTCTGTCAAGGCCTTTGAGGAAATTGAAAAATCATGTTATTTATCTAGTGAATATAAATATTAGGACAACATGTTTTAATTAAGGAATGTTGATCAGGCAATTGTGCTTTAAAAACATGTTTCCGATTATATGGAAGTTACAGGTTAATCAAGTAGTTTGGAAAATAATACATTAGATAATTATGCAGGTTAAATCATATTGTCAAGTCTCTCCCAGCCACACTAATGCATCACTTTTACTTCTGAAAATAATTTGTGGACTCAAACAAAATTTCTCAGTTTCATCCTTCAACTATGAGTGTGAGATAGCTGATGAAATTCGTGTCCTAAATCTCTCTTCATTTTGCCGGACTATCTGTATGATTTAAGCACTTGCTTGTTTTTTTTAAGTGACTTAAGAATCTTCAGCATTCAAATAAAAATTATTAATCCATTAACTCTCAGACCTAAAGAGAATGAATGGCTTCATGAATCATAATTCAGTCTTCTAGTTTGGGGCACATAAAAAAAGCCAAACATTCAGTTGGCCTCTTCCATATCTAGCTGATTTGCTTTAGTGATTCATTTTTCATTTTCCTCACAATTAGACTCAAATTTCTGGGCTGACTTTCTAATTTTGAGTCTCTAAAGTTGTAAATTCTGTAGCCATAGAACAAAAATGACATAGAAACACAAGGTAACACAATTGTATCTTTGAATGAAAACATACATATGTTGTCTTGACCCCGTTACCATTTTACAACTCTTACATAAAGAAATCACCAGATGTTTAAAAAATAGAACGCTGATGAATCTTTTGTTCTTCCCTAACCTTTATGTTTTTCTGCTGCAGTTTTATCTCAGTAAGAGTTATGCTCATAGCTTACTTATTCAAAAGTATTATGCTTATTTTCCTCACAAAGATTTTGTTAACAGAAGGTTTCTTTACATAGTATTTGGAAAAATTTGGATACTCTATGAAGAAGAATGCAGTAGAGGTATGAGTACAGAAAATAATCATGAGCAAATAAAGATGATGTGTGAAAAAATAAATAAAAAATTTTAAAAATTCACTGTAAGCTGGATTGCAGTTAGCAAAGCATCAGAGAAGAATTTCTGTGGAGAAATTGTAAATATTATTTTAAGGGAAGAAAGTTCCGTATGACACAGTTGTTTTCTGTTAGATGAGGCCCAGCTGTTCTATCCAGTTCTTGGTCACAGCTAATGGAAAAAACTCATTCTGATCATTTTCTAAAATTCCTACTCTAAATATGTACTCACGAAAGTAAAGAAATATACTTTCCTGAAATAGAGGTCTGTGCAGACTTTTTATATTCATATTTGCAGTTTTAAAAACGATGATCAATTGACTAAATGTCCAGCAAAGACTTAGACATGGTTGATAAGGATCTCAATATATATACTGATTTCTCTGCTTAGAAGTTCATCTTTCAAATTATGCAAAATATATACTCTACTGCAGAAAAACTAATACTAGTATTGTTTCTTTGTAAAATATGGCAAGCAAAATAAATAAAAATCCATGTATTTCTAAATATTTCTTCATCTGGATATTTACAAGTATTTGTATTATACTTTTATTCTTATGGCCACACCTCACTACTTTTTTTTGTGTGTGAACCGAAGTGACTTTCATAATGTTATGAAAAGTTATTAAGGGGCAGAAACTAGAACAAAAACCTTGAAAAGACTCCCGTTTAAAAAATATTTTTCAGTATTTTTAATACTGATTTTGTTCTGAAACCAATTGTTTGAAAATTCTGAATCAACTGGATGAAAACTGGGTAGAGTACAGATCCCTTTAACAGATCAAACAAGACATAACTCTTTAAAAAGATTTTAAAGGCTGGGCACGGTGGTTCACGCCTGTAATCCCAGCACTTTGGAAGGCAGAGGTAGGTGGATCATGAGGTCAGCAATTTGAGACCAGCCTGACCAACATGGTGAAAACCCATCTCTACTAAAAATACAAAAAGTAGCCGGGCGTGGTAGTGCGTGCCTTTAATCCCAGCTACTCAGGAGGCTGAGGCAGGAAAATCACTTGAACCCTGGAAGTGGAGGTTGCAGTGAGCTGAGATCACGCCACTGCACTCCATCCTGGGCCACAGAGTGAGATTCCATTAAAAAAAAAAAAAAAAAAAACTTTTAAAGTGTTTTCATTGACACATAATAATTATACATATGTATGAAGTACAGTGTGTTTTGATACATTTATATTTTGTGTAAAAATCAAATCAGGGCAATTTAGCATATCTATAAATTATACATTTATAATTTCCTTGTGATGAGAACATTCAAAATTCTCTCTTTTAGCTATTTTAAAATGTACAATTACAGTATTGTTTTCCATAGTCATCCTACTGTGTGACAGAACACTGGAACTTATCCCTCCAGCCTAACTGTAACTTTGCACCCATTGACCAGTCTCTCCCCATTCCCCTTCCCCTCTCCCCTCCTCAGCCTCTGTTCTACTCTACTTCATGAGAACAGCTTCCTTAGATTCCACATATGAGTGAGATCATGTGACATTTGTCTTTCTGTGCCTACTTTATTTCATTTACCATAATGTCCTCTAAGTTCATCCACCTTTCTGTAGATAACAGGATTTCATTCATTTTTAATGGCTGAATGGTATCTCATTGTGTATATATACCATATCTTCTTTACTCATTCATCCATTGGTGGACAGACACTTCGGTTGATTCCTTATCTTGACTATTGTGAATAGTGTCACAATAAACATGGAGGTACAGGTATCTCTCACACTTATTGCCCTTCCTTTAGATCTATAGCCAGTAGTGAGATTGCTGGATCATACGGTAATTCTGTTTTTAATTTTTTGAGGAAACGTCATCCTGTTTTCTATAATGGCTGTACTAATTTATATTCCCGCTAACAGTTTCCCTTTCTCCACATCTCCACCAGCACTTGTTAATTTTGTCTTTTTGAGAATAGTCAATCTAACAGGTGTTTCATTGTGGTTTTCATTTGCATTTTGCTGATGATTAGTGATGTTCCGCATTTTTTCATAAAACTGTTACACATTTGTGTGTCTTCTTTTGAGAAATATCTTTCTGGGTCTTTGCTGATTTTTAAATTGGATTATTGGAGGTTTTTTGCTATTGAGTTGATAACGCAGACATAAATCCATGCACTTATAGCCTACTGGTTTCAACAAAAGTGCCAAGAACATACAATGGAGAAAGGACAGTGTATTCAATAAATTGTGCTGCAAAAACTGGATATTCACACAGGTAGACCCCATCTCTCACCATATACAAAAATCAACGCATAATGGATTAAAGACTTAAATATAAGACGTGAAACAATAAAACTACCAGAAGAAAACACAGGGGAAATGCTACATGACATTGGTCTGGGCAAGGTTTTTTTGGATACAGACCCCAAAAGCACAGGCAACAAAAGCAAAAGGAGATAAATGGAGTTACATACATCAAAGTAAGATGTAGCCCTTTGACTGTTCTTTTTCAACGGCCTGAACAGGTTCCATTTTCTTTTCACTTCCTGCAGTAACTTCATGGTTTAGACCAATATTGTTACTTTTACTTGATCTTTATAACCAGTAATTTTTCTCCTTCAGTTTTTCCAAAACTTTATTTCCTCATATTCTTACCTTGCTGCAGAACTTTCAAAGATATCCATCCAACTTCTTGCAGTGGGGTCAAGTGCAAATTATTTCTACTTTTCTTAATGCTCTTACATTTAAAAATGTGTTTTGCATTTTTTTTCCATATCTTTGCTCAGACTATATATTGTAGCATAAACTTTAAGAGCATGAAAGATCTGTGTTTAAATTCCTATTCTTCCACAGGACAAATGACTTAATGGAGCCTGTGCTGCTTATCTGTAAAATTGGAGATTATCAATACAAACAATATGTTGTGGGGATTCATGGAGATGATGCATATAAAGTCCTTAGGACAGAGGTTGGGACCTAAGAAGTTTTTCTCAAGTAGTAGCTTCTGTATGCCGTCTAGTCTCCCCACCCCGCCCCAACTGTTTTTAAAATCCTACTCATCTTTCAGAACAAGTTCATTTCCCACATTCTCTGTGACCCTTTATGTGATCAGTTATTAGTGCCACTCATTTGGCTTGTATGTTGTCTTTCCCTGTGTGTAGTATCATCCCCCCAGCGAAATCACAAAGAAGAACATGTCCTGTCCTTTAACACTGTGTCTTGCACATTTTGTGTTGATTAATAGATTAAAGTGATACCTGTCATAACAGTTTTTCAGGGTTGTCCAAGCAGAGAATATGGATGACAACAGGCTGCCCAAACAGCTGTTACAGGATGAGGTTAAGTGCAGTGACCACAGGAGGTTTATACAAACTACCTCAGAAAATGGAGCACAGCCACAGAATCCTGGGCTGTCACCACGTCTGGCAGATTACAGTGCTGTGCAGTAAGCAGAAATGGGACATCTCATTTTAAACAAATACTTTGGGTAGATTATGAGGTTCAAGAGTAGAACTGTAGACAAAAACAAGCCTTACAAATCGCAACTGCAGCTGCAAAGGAAAAGATGCATCTTTATGAGAACCTATTGTAGGAAGACATGCAGGTTACAAATCCATCTTTAGCGACATTTACACCCCCAAGAGCTCTAGCATTAGTAATGTTATCATCCACTAGGATTATAATATAGTGTGCAATGATAGCCTGTTATGATCTGTCAGAAGTGGAAAAACTTAACTTTTATTTTTAGAGCAGTCCAGTAAAAATGTTAACACTCTCTGGGACCACCAGCCTGAGCAATATAGAAAAACCCGTCTCTAGAAAAAATAAAAAAATTAACCCAGCATGTTGATGCATGCCTATTGTCCCAGCTACTAGGGAGGCTGAACTGGAAGGATCACAAGCCAGGGAGGTTGAGGCTGCACTGAGCCATGAGCATGCCACTGCACTCCAGCCTGGGTGACAGAGTGAGGCTGTGTCTCAAAAACAAAATTAAATATAAATGTGATCTCTACTTTTTTTAAAATTTATTATTGTTATACTTTAAGTTTTAGGGTACGTGTGCACAATGTGCAGGTTACTTACATATGTATACATGTGCCATGCTGGTGTGCTGCACCCACTAACTCGTCATCTAGCATTAGGTATATCTCCCAATGCTATCCCTTCCCCCTCCCCCCACCCCACAACAGTCCCCAGAGTGTGATGTTCCCCTTCCTGTGTCCATGTGTTCTCATTGTTCAATTCCCACCTAAGAGTGAGAATATGTGGTGTTTGGTTTTTTGTTCTTGCAAATTTATGTTAGCTTTTCTAAGCATTCTCTCTTTTTTTTTTTTTTTTGAAAGGGGGTGCTTTCCAGATTGAGGGAAACTTTCTTTGTATTTTCCCTCATGTTCATTTTAGAATAAGTAGGGATGATTATTTATTTAGAAACTGCATTGTATGGTGGGAAAAAAGCACCTTAATGCTGAAATTCAGAGGGAATTGGATTCAAATCATAGCTTTGTCTCTTACTCTATATTCTTGGATAAGTAGTTTAACCTTAGTAAACCGCTCTGTGAATCCTCACAGGAAGGTTTCAGTGCTACACAAAAAATGCTCAGAATTATGCCTAACCTATATGAGGCACTCAAGAAAGGTAGCTATTATTATATTTGACTAATAAGAAGTTAGTTAATTTTGCAGCCAGTCATATTGTTTAAAAGGCTGGCACAAGTTACAATTTCCTGTAATTGTCTTAGAAACCACACCTTTCTAAATAGGAATGGGTATGCTCTCAGGTCAAATGCCTTATTTGTTCAACTTGCATCTATCTGATTCTGCATAAAGTATTTGGCTGATCAGAACAGTCAGGAGGATAGAAGCTAATTTAATCAATAAATATGTTTTGGAATTTTGTTTTACAACACCAGAGTCTGGCAAAAGCAAATAAATTGCTTTCTCTCTTTGGGATTAGGTGAGAATAATCCAATTTGAAGGATCAGGTTTTAATTACCTAATGAATGAATCCTGCTAGGAGTTCTGAATTTCATGTTTGGTCAAGATTGACAATGATGAAATAAGCAGAAAAACCCAGGCAAAGAGAAAAATAGTGAAAGCCTGAGATAAAGTATGAAGAAGGTATGTGAACAATATCACCCATGAATGGTGGTGCTACAAGTCATGGTTTATTTCTCTGAAAGGTTATCTGAAAATTAAAAATCAATGAATCTTAGAATAAATACTGACTTTGAGTATCTGTAACATGTTGCATTAGAAATCTTAGGTTGGAGGCAACAGAAACCAAATTTGTTCACTTCAACAGGCAAAGGGGGAATGTATTATAAGGATGCAGGGGGTGTCTCAGAACCTCAGTGCAAGAGTGCAGTCTGGCTCCTGGACCCACAAAAAGTTTGTCTTTCTCTCTCATTCTCTCTCTCTCTGTAGGTCAACTTCATCCTTTTACCCTTGGTTTTGGCAAATCATCTTCATCAATTACTCAGTTCACCTACTAAAAATGGCCATAGCTCTAGATTTTGCATCTTCTCTTACCAAGAGACCAGCCCTCACTGTAATTGAAACCTTCCAGTCCCAATTCCAAACTCTCAGAGAAGGAACCCCAAAAGGTTCACTGCATATACTGAACAGCTTATTATAGTTGGGAATCAAATGATAATGCTGAAATAAATGCTCATGACAGTGTCTTACAAAGAGTCATTCATTTTCAAGCATGTTACCCAATGGTCCAAAATCCAATGCTCATTGAGATACCACTAAGATTATCATTATACATGACACAAAACTTTCCATTGATAATACCATTTTGTATTGAATATTGTGTTATCAGATACTTAAGGCAACTGAGTCACCATCTTGATGTCTTTATATAGAAAAGCATTCAAATGAAATTCAGAGGTAAGAAATACAAAATGTAGAGGGAGAGGAGGTGTATTCAAATGACGTTTATATCCCCAGCACCAACTGTCATTTCCCTTTAGGTATCTTTGCTCCTCTGCAGAGCATTCTCAGCTTAATAGCTCTAAGATACTCAGCTGTGAACACAAAGGGGGATAAAACTCTGAATGAAAAAGATGAAGGATTCTTTGGTAGCTCTTACAAACTGAAAGAACTGAGTCTAACAAGGAATTTGTTTTGTTAACTAGTAGATACATATATATTCTCTCCACTCCCCTTTTAGTCACTAGTTAATGTTTTTTGAATGCCTGTCAAAAATTTACATTCAAAGATGTAAACATGTGGAGATAAGAACTAGAGTTAACTTTTCAAATTGTGTCACAGTGATCTGATGAGACTAGAGATAGGAGAAACTTAGTAAAAAGAAATAATTCATTTTGTAAGAAAATAAAAATCTACAAGTTTCTTGTGGGAAATTTATGTTTGAAATGATAAATAAGATCTACAATCCTTCAATTATTGAAAATAAATACCTCCAAAAAGAAATGTGTCTGCAGACCTGCTATAATCCTTTTCTTATGTATATCCCTTAATAATAAAATTTAACAACCAAAAATCCACTTATTATTCTAATAATCCACTGACTTAGCAATCTTGATGACATAATGTGGTGCAAAAATAAAATTTTCTCTTCCATTTTCAATGGGATACATTATAGTTTTATTCAAATTGTTGTCTTGTTCTAGTTTTCCACCTAACATTAAAGACACTTGACCTGTACTTCTTGTTATTTTATTTTTAAATAATTGATAAACGATCTGTATTCCTTAATCACTTATTTTTAAAGTACAGTTTTGTGACCGATTGTTTTTAATAACTGTCTGCAGACAGATCTATGGTTGGAATCTTCCTTTATCAAATAATACTTGGATACTACTAAAATTTTTAAACTCTTATTAACATTTATAGGTGAAGAAGTGGACAGAGATTAATAATTAGTTTAAGGATACCCAGCCAGACAGAGGTGCGACCAGACCAAGTCAGATCTCTGAAGCTGTGACTCTATTTAGTAGTTTTATCAGACTAATAAAACGAGTTAAATTTACTTGCCTTCGATAATCAGCATCAAAATTAAGAAACAATTTGCTGTTTAATCATATTAGTTATACAGTTTTTGTCTTAGTAATTGTCACTACCTATATTGTATATGTATTTATTAACTTTGTCTCCTTTCCATTAGAATAAAATTTATGCAAAGGCAAGCACCTGAGTGTCCTCTTTACCTGTCTATTGGTATGACAGGAATTCCTTCTTAAATGTAAGTTTATGGGAATTATGATGTCTTTACTGCCTTACAGAAAAAACAAAAATATATTAAAATCTTTGATGGGAGACAGGAAGTGGCTATAGAGAATGAAAAATATAAATTAAAAAAGGAGAGAGAGAGAGTGAATCTTATGACCCAAGATTTTCTCCATAAAAATTAGCCAGTTGAAAGTTTTATCACAGCAGTTTGTAGCCACATAGATTTCTGCCTAAAGGTAAAGGCAGATTAACCAAGTGTGAGCAACAGTTCAACCAATAACTCAGATTAAAAGAGAAAGGAATAAATTGCAGACTTCATAAATATTTTAAGTATGTCAAGGTCAGATAAGGACAAGAGTCTGAATAGAAATGATTTTCAAAGTCTGTGAATAGTTGTGATACTATGTGATTAGAGCACAAATGAGTCCACCTACTGTATTTTGGAAATGACAGGTCATGTACTGACTAAACTGCAGAATTCCCAGATGATTTGGTAAATAAATCTCCTAAAGCCAGTGCGAAATCAAGCAACTAGAGTGGCAGGGTTTTCCCTTTGTGTTTGTAGCATTTACACTTGTTTGTGTTTGCAGTAATACAACAATGATGATGACTTAGATGGTGATCCTAATTCTCTCCTTCTAAGACCTTGTCAGTGGCTGTTAGGTGGGGGAAGGAGTAACAAATGCTGCCTCAAATTTGACTTACCTAACTCATTTTCCTGTATGGCTCCAGAGAATGTGACCCTCTCAGAAATTCTCTCCTGCGACTCTCAGGCTTTATTCCTCCATTTCTTTCTACTCCAGCTTTCTTACTGTTTCTTGAACAATTCAACCTTTTCCTGCCTTGCCTTTGTGCTTCCTAGTCCCACTGTCTGAGATGTTCTCTTTGCTGAGACCACTAGCTGGCTGATTCCATCTTGTCCTTCTGGTATCTGTTTAAATGTCACCTGGCTAGAGGAGGCTTCCTGACTCTGCTGTGTAAGATAGATTACCCACTCCCTTCTCATCACTCTCTAACCTCTTCTCTTGCTTTGGTGTTTGTCTTAGCAATTGTCACTACCTATATTGTATATATATTTATTATCTTTCTGTCTTTTACACTAGAATAAAAGTTATGCAAAGGCAAGCACCTGAGTGTCTTCTTTACCTATTTCCGTAGCCTATAACTGTGCCTGGCATACAATCAATATCTTCCAAATAAATGAGTGATACTTGTGGTTTTGGCAAAATATACAGGTACGGACAACTTCAATTTCTCTAGGAGCCTTCTGCAAGTAAATGCTTGAATCATACAAAAACACACTCTATTCAAAGTAAAACATAAATTATAATATTGATCCTGATTAGAAAGCCTATTATTGAGTGTTTAGCCAGGATGAGTTATATCATTTTCGTGAAATATTACATAAACTCGTTAAGTGAAGAAAATAAGAAAAACATAAAGAAGAACAAAATGAAAGGCAGGATATAGCACTGCACATATTAGTATCACACACACATACACAAATGGTAACTATCAAAAAAAAAGAAAAGTCTCAAGGGAAATTACTCTGGAAAAAGAAACGTGAAAACTGTGAGTAACAAATGGGAATTTCCAGCCAAGCCAGTTATCACAATAAAAGTTCACTGTTATCCTTCTATCTGATCAAGCCCTGTTTGAAGTTGCTGACCCCTCTTAAGGAGATCCTAGTTATTGGCACCAGCCCCTTTAATTTGACCCATGATTGGGTACTCAGATATATTGAATGGAAGCAGAAGGATTTTAGGAAAAAAAAAATCATAAAGTCATATTTCTTAACCTTTATTTGAGAAGCAATTATAAAGTTACTTTTCGCACTATATTCTGATGCTTTCCAGTTTTCATTTTCCAAAAAGATATTTTTCGATTTATATATAATTTATCTCCCTCCTCTTCCTTCTCCCTTCCTGCCTCCCTCCTCTGCTCTCAGGTTCCATCCAATCAACAACGTAGATTCCTCCACCTCCCCGCTCCTACCCACCCCAGGGCCAGGGTACAGTAGCTTTTATTGAACTTTCTATGGGTTAGTTTTGAGAGGAATTCAGGGGAAGAATCAATGACAAAACTCTAAGAATTTACAGCTCGTGTGTTTGTGTGTGTGTGTGTGTGTCTTTGTGGCTGTGTGATATGGTTTGGCTGTGTTCCCACCCAAATATCATCTTGAATTGTAGCTCCCACAATTCCTACGTGTCATGCATGGAAGGGACCTGGTGGGAGGTTATTAAATCATGGGGGTGGGTCTTTCCCATGCTGTTCTTATGATAGTGAATAAGTCTCACAATTATAAAGCAGAGTTTCCCTGCACCAGCTATCTTTCTCTTGCCCACCACCATGTGAGAAGTCCCTTTGCTTTTCCTTCATCTTCCACCATGATTGTGAGGCCTCCCCAGCCACATGGAATGTGAGACCATTAAACCTCTTTCCTTTATAAATTATCTAGTCTCAGATATATCTTTATTAGCAGCATGAGAACTAATACAATGTGTGTGTGGCGGGGGGTGGGTGTGTGTTTGGAGATGTATTGCAGTGGAGGGAGTGATTGAGAGATAGATCCAATGGAGTATTTACCTCACCTCTAGGGAAATCACTTGGTATATTTTTATCCACGGTTTATCACCACTGGCCCAGATACTAGATTGGCCTCATTGGCTAATTCAGTGTGGTGTTCCAAAACAGCTCAGTCAATGGAAGATATAAAATACCTCAAAGTTCTAGAATATGTATGAAGCATCAGGAAAGGGAGGGATTCAGCCTCCTAAAAGCCTTGCCCCCAACCCTTAATCCAGTCAACCATTAAATACATCACCAACCCTGACAGTATCAGAAAATTCTAATGAATTATTCAGAATATTTATTTGTTTTCAGGTAAGACAAGCTCAGTTTCACAGACAGTATGGAAGCCTCAAAGGAACCCCCATAGTACTGTAGATCACAGTTCTCATAACAGAGAGCAATATATCAATTACCAGCTGCAGCAATTCAGCACTGTGCTGTATCCTCGAATACTGCATGTACTCAGACCTGGCTTTCTTTGAAATCAGAATCCAATATTGTCTCTGAGAGATGATTTAATAGAGAGTGTGAAGATGCTCTATTTCAAACTCAAATATCTTTTAAACTTTTAATGAAAGGTATAAAGAAGTGGTAGATGGGAAATCTTAATTAAATTCTATACAAAGAGGAACAGAGTTTAGAGAGGCATTCACAGGCAAAGTCATAATGACCAGAAAAGAGATCTGATGGAATTTCTTTACTAGAGAATCTATTTGTCAACCTCAGGTCTCATATATGTATCTGCCAGACCTAACAAGGACCGACAAGAGATAGCTATACCTTAAGAAAATGGAAGGACTGACCAAGGAAATAGATTAAGTCACTGATTCAGTGTCCACAGAAACTTTATAGAACGTAACTACCATGAATAAAGATAATTGACTGTGTGTGTGTGTGTGTGTGTGTGTGTGTGTATTTCCTTAAATCTTTTTCCTTGGTCAATCACAAGGATATGTAGTCATAATTACAAGGATGTGAGGCATGATATTGAGATATAAACAGGGACAATAGCAGCCTGGAAGCACTGCATGGCAGTGTTGGGAAAACTTCCTACTAAGGCTTGAAGGATGCCTTGCAGCTCAACCAAAAAAGGAAAGGGCAGACATGGGCTTAGTTATCACAAAGTTCTAGATTCGGATCAAGATTTACTAACCGTTTGACCTTGGGCGTATTGCTTAACCATTATGACTGTTTCCCCACTTGTAAAATGGAAGTGATAATGTGTATCTTTCAGTGTTGTTATAAAAATTCAATGAGAAGTTTGTAAGTTAATGGAGTAAATGTCTAGCTTATTAACTGGTTGGTTACTGGTAGAAGCGATATAAGTGGTTACTGATATTAACTAATAGGTTTGGGTCAAATGAGAACAGTATGCAGAAAGGCATAGTGGTGTGAAGTGTAATGTACAAGTGATTTCATACAGCTGAGTGCAGAGAGCAATTGAGGGAGTGATGGGAGATACTGCAGGAAGAGAAGCATCATCCAGATGACAGAGACTAGAACTTAGCCTGTGACACTAAGCATGAGAGCTTTATCCTGTAGTGCAGAGACAGCCCGTGAATGATTTGTTTGTTAATTACAATGGGATCCATTCTTAGGCTTGCATTAAGCCTCATTCTGAAAATATATGGGTATATGAAAATATTCTACCATTATTCTTTACCATATCAGAAGCACTTTTCCTCCAATTAGTTCAAACTAGTGATGTTTTGCTTGGAATGTTTATATCCAAGCATTTACACATTGGCTTCTTTCAAAATTACTTTCTTTCCAGCTCTAAATACTCTCATGATTCCAGAAGATAAAATACAATTAATGGCCTTTTCTGTTTTCTCCAAAAACATATTTTTAATTCTTGTTCATGATAGGGTGTATTAATTTCCTACAGCGGCTGTACCAAGTTATCACAAATTGGGTGGCTCAAAACAAGACAAATTCGGCCGGGTGCAGTGGCTCACGCCTGTAATCCCAGCAATTTGGGAGGCCAAGGCGGGCGGATCACAAGGTCAGGAGATCGAGACCATCCTGGCTAACACGGTGAAACCCCATCTCTACTAAAAATACAAAAAATTAGCCTGGTGTGGTGGCGGGCGCCTGTAGTCCCAGCTACTCGGGAGGCTGAGGCAGGAGAATGGCGTGAACCCAGGAGGCAGAGCTTGCAGTGAGCCGAGATTGCGCCACTGCACTCCAGCCTGGGCGACAGATAGAGACTCCGTCTCAAAAAAAACAAAACAAAACAAAACAAGACAAATTCTATTCTCCTGCAGTTCTAGAGGCCAGAAGTCTGAAATAAAGGGCTGTTTGCTTCTGGAGGCACTGAAAGAGAATCTAAGTCCCTACCTGCCAGTGACTGGGTTATCCTTGTCTTTCCTTGGCTTTGTAGTTGTATCACTTTAGTCTCTACCTCAGTCCTCACAGAACCTTCTTTCCCATGTGTCTCTGTGTCGATTCTTCTTCTCCTTTCTCCTATAAAGACACCAGTTATTGTATTTAGAGCCCACACTATTTCAATATGACCTCATTCTGAGATCCTTAATTTATGGACTTCAGCAAAGACCTTCTGTCTAAGTAAAGTCATGTTCACAGATGTCAGGGGTTAGGACTCGGACATATCATTTTGGGGGACACTATTCAACCTACATAGAGAATGAATTGAAACATGATTAAGAATCTCTTTTTACATGTTTCAGTTATCCTGCTGTATGTCTGCTGTATGTCTCTGCTCTGTTGAAAAGGCCAAAGGCGAGGAATGTGCCGGAAGATGGTGTTTGTTGAACAGCCCTTGGTCTCACTCCCTTTGCACAGAGGCCTTGGCTTTATTATGCCCCTCAAGGAAAAAGACTAGCTTCACCTGAGAAAGGATGTTGGTGGTCACTTCTATGCAAAATACAGCAAGAGAAACACATCCTTTGCAAATCCTGGACCAATTTGAGAACAGCTTCACTCTCACAATGTTGGTTTTTTGTTTTGTTTTGTTTTGTTTTCTATAATGTTTTTGGAAATCCATCTTTAAATTTAGCCATTTTCTCTCATAGCATTTGCTTTTTGTCTGGAAATTGGAACTCCAATTTCTGTTACTGAAGGTTTCCAGTATTTCCTCTTTAACAAAATTTCATGTGGGAATTAAACTATTGTGCATTTTTTTCTTTCCTCTGTTTTTCTTTCATCGTTTTTTTGGAATGTATAAGGTAGAGTTATTATTTTTACACTGGTAAAGGAGCGTGATGGCAACAACCGCTGGTCATTCAGATGATTCACTATCGAAGGATTAACATTCATTTTGAAGCTTCAAGATGTTTTAAGTATGGACTGAGCACCCTGCCCCATCCTCCCAGGTAGAAGAGACAAAAACTTAGTTGGCTGCTGACAGGATTCACTCCACTGTTTCTCAGTTTTCTACTTTAAGCTCCCCACACCTTCCATTTCTAGATTTTCTTCTGCATTCTATGAATACCATTTGGCTGTGTTCAGTTTTACACTTAATTTCACTGTTTTATTCTATTGATCTATACCTTTAGTAAAATTTGTATCCTTTCTCATAAGCTCCTTTTTTTTATTATACTTTAAGTTTTAGGGTACATGTGCACAACGTGCAGGTTAGTTACATATGTATACATGTGCCATGTTGGTGTGCTGCACCCATCAACTCGTCATTTAACATTAGGTATATCTCCTAATGCTATCCCTCCCCCCTCTCCCCACCCCACAACAGGCCCCGGTGTGTGATGTTCCCCTTCCTGTGTCCATGTGTTCTCATTGTTCAATTGCCGCCTATAAGTGAGAACATGCGGTGTTTGGTTTTTTTGTCCTTGCGATAGTTTGCTGAGAATGATGGTTTCCAGCTTCATCCATGTCCCTACAAAGGACATTAACTCATCATTTTTTATGGCTGCATAGTATTCCATAGTGTATATGTGCCACCTTAAACTTCTGAAGAACAGAAACGGCATTGCTCTTTTAACTAATTTTATTCTTGCTACACTCTGTGGTAGCTATTCACCAAGTTTTTATTGGATCCATTGAAGTTAAAGACCCAAATTTATTTGAAATTTTCTCATCGGTCTTATTCCCAAATAAAGCACTGACCTCTGTGTTATTAGAATGCCATTTTATAACATCTGCTAATTAGGAGCAGGCCTTTCCTTTGTTAATTCTACTTAACTAATAAACAGCAGGAAGAGTAGAGTTGGCCAAGAGAGGAGGAAATAAATGGGATGTAAATGAGTAAACACCCAATGCTGGGAAAGTCAGATAAGAGAAAAAAATTAAGGACTGAGAGAATGTATGAGATTAGAGGAGAAATTCTGTAACTCAGTAGAGAAAGTCAGCTGTGTTCACCCTATACTGAAGCAATGTGCTAATAATTCAAGAATTTGAAATTTTCAAGACGCTTTTTCACCACAAAGAACCTGGATCCCCTAACCTCAATTTCCAAGCATATTCTCAGTATTGGACATTTTCACATAAATCTCTTTTTGATCTCCCAAACTCAGCATGTCACAAACTGAAATAATCTTCCCTTTCAATGCAGCCCCTCCTGATGATGTTGTTAAAGGTGCTCTATATTTTCTTAGCCTCCCGTGCTTTCAGTCTTGGAATTTCCCTGGGCTGTTGTCTCTCTTTCTCTGCCAAACTAGTGAAGAGTCATTAGCTGTCATTTATTGACCTTCAGATCTTATGTCACTAGAATTTTCTATAAGTTATTTTGTTAATTAATTCTTGTGATAACCCTATGTAGTACATACTAACATCCCCAAAGAAGTTATGAAACTCACCCAGAGCATAAATGATGCTGTAAATGTAGCAAAGTGCCTTTGAGAGAATGAATATTGTGGGACACTGCCTGAAGGCCATGATAGGTACTCTTTTCCCTGTACACGTCAGCATTTATCACACCTCCACTGCCTTGCCAGCCCCCCTGTGCCATTTACCAAAACATGCTTTGTCAGCAAATCATTATCTAAAACTGAAGGGTTGAAAAACAGTGCAATGAAACTCATTATTTTATTTACTATGAATGAGAACACTATTTATGCTTACATAGTGGCAGTGTTCCACTGGAAAAAATTCTCTGTGACTCAGTATCAGGAATGGCTGTATTCTGAGCAACCAGCTGGATCTTATTTAATGAATATCATGAACCCTATTGCTCATAATGTTTCTTCCTGTTTTGTCTGTTGGAAATCTCAGAACCACCTCTTTGACCTGAATCTAAGAGTTGAATTGTACCCCATGGTGCACTTTCTGAGGTTCCCTTGACCACCCTCTTATTTTTCTCTTGGCTGCCCCCCAGTTAAGCCATGCCTCTCTCCTTTTCTGAATTTGAATGGAAGACCTCACTGCGCAGATTGGATTTAGCTTTGTGAGTGGCTGCAGAGGAGCTAGAAGTGTCCTGGAAGTGCCGGGAAAAGAGCGCCCCTTAGGTGAGCCATGACATGGGTGACTACAGGAAGCCAGGCCAAGATGCCGTCTCACTGCTGTCTTCTGTGGACCTCTCCAGGAAGTGTTTTCCCTGGGAGTCCTTCCCTAGAAGCCCAGCATCACGGGAGTAGGCAGCCTTCAGAGGGACCTGCTCAGTTTCTTGGTGGCTCACTTTGACACAGTAGCCAGTGCAGTGATGTGTCATATCCCATTCTTTGCTTGTTTCTGTGTCTCATTTCTCCTTGATTCCTCAGTCGCCTTGCTTCGGGCTTGTATCTCTGAAATAAAACGTTAGCACCTTGATCCATGCTTCAGGCTCTGCTTCCTGGAGAACTTGGACTATGACAAATGTAAGACTGTTTGTTACAGGCATAAATCGGCACTTCTTGCTGCTTTTTGGTTGGTGGCTTGGTGTTAAGGGTAGTAGTGGCCACCTTTTTTCATCACAGAACTGGAACTACATTGCCAAGAGTTTGTATTTGGCAGAAACTTTCCTTCGGATGTCTTTCTCAAGAGGAAACTGACAGTAAGTGTAATTCCAGTGTTATCCCCCAAACTCCAACATTTTAACCCCTTATTTCTCATTGGTACTGTAGGAATGCCAGAAAGCACAAAAGAGCAACTGCCTGTAGCCTGCTGTTAATATAGTTGAAATAACTTGTCAGACTTCCACTATGAAAGCAGATTTTTTTTCTGCTGGCAAAAACTAGAAGAGGTGCCATAAAATCAGAAATAAGCTGTGAAATGCACTTTAAGTTAATACGAAACTGTGTTGTTCTATTGACCTAGCACTCTGAAAAACAAGCAGTGTTGTCTTTTGAAGGATGATAAAACTGCAATGAGGATTTCTTTGTGGCATGGGGGAGGGGAGGGGTGGGTTTATTTTATTATTATTATTTTGTTGCAAAATAAAAGAGACAGCTCTCTGTGACCTCAGTGAGAAATAAATCCTAAAACAGAATATTAGTGATTTTGAAGGTATTTCCATCTTAGCCATCCTAACCATAAACTAGTTGCTGCTTTATGTGTATCATAAGCTCCCTTTTTGCCCCAAATTCGCTTTCCTTGTAGTTTTTCTAATTATTTTCTTCCATAATAAGTTAACAAGACATCTCTTTCATAAACAAATGTGTGTGTTTGACATGAGAAATGCTTTATTTCCAGCTCAGAGGACTCTTTTTGGTCAAAGCAGAATAAGGCTTTGTACTGAGTCTTCTTCCAAAGACTATTTTAATTTTATTAGTTTTTTAATATTCAAAAACAAGTCATGGCAGGGGAATAGTCAGCTCATTTTTAAGTGAGGCCAATTTTTCTTCTTATTTCTCATTCACTCTTATGAAAACTTAGTCAGAAATTGAAAAGAAAAAAGTTAGAGACTATCTACAAAGCAACATAGAGCAGCCACAGCGTGGAAAAACCCAGCACTGTTTTTTTTCAAGTTTCAAATCCTGCCACACACAAAAAAACATTGTATGGAGTTCTATTTTCATGAATTATAAGTCTTTTGGATGCACCATGAAATCTAATATAAGCTGGTAAAGAGAATTCACCTTGACCTTGTCTCCTAAGGTGCCATTTTGAAGAGACAGTGCTGAGTTTAGTGAAGAAATGATGGGATGGGGAGCTCTGTTCATGCCTGAGGGCATTTGGAGCAAAGAGAACCTGAAAGAATTGTTAGTTCTGACTCCATGACCTTGTGATTAGACTTTGCTTCAGACCTACACAGTGAAACCTTGAGAAGCATGGTTATGAGCCTGGCTTTGGAATGAAAGGTGTGGGTGCGACCCCAGCCACATGAGAACCCTGGGACATGTCACATCATAAATCTGCGTAAGTGTCAAATTTCTCAGCAGTTAAAAAACAAAAATATTCGGCCAGCTGCGGTGGCTCACGCCTGTAATCCCAGCACTTTGGGAGGCTGAGGTGGGCGGATCACAAGCTCAGGAGTTCGAGACTAGCCTGGCCAATACGGTGAAACCCTGTCTCTACTAAAAATAGAAAAATTAGCCAGGTGTGGTGGCACATGCCTGTAACCCCAGCTACTCGGGAGGCTGAGGCAGAAAAATCACTTGAACCCGGGAGGCAGAGGTTGCGGTGAGCTGAGATCATGCCACTGGACTTCATCCTGGGTGACATAGAGAGACTCCGTCAAAAAAAAAAAAAAATCACATCTAACTCATGATGTACTTGGAGATCGACAAGATGACTTTAGTATAGCTGATAGGCCATCATAAGTTCATAGGATGGTGGTGGGTATTTTGTCTTATTTTTTATCAGTGTATTTTCAGCACCTAATATGTAGCATGACTTCAAGATTTATTTATCAAATATTTTAAAGGACTTAAGATTACCCTTGACTGACCCATGTGCCAGGCAATCTTCTATTATTATTGGGAATATTCAAGCACTATTTTGTTCAGGATTTGATTAGTTTCTTAGGGATGAGCAAAGAGGGCAGTTTTAAAGCTCCTTCAGAGCTAACTCAAAGTCGCTGCTAGCAATTAAAAGAAGGTTAAAAAAAAAAAGTGGGACATGGATCCTCTTTATTCTCCTGGACATTAAAACGTGCCTCGACTTGTATTCTCCAATGTCCCACATTAAAGTTTAGCTGATAAGAGAGTTCCAGTGCTAAAACACAGTTTGGAAGTTACTCATCTCATACACATCCATGTTGTACCAACCGATGGCCCTCTCAGAAACAACACCATCAGTTTTTGGATGTCTGTAGTGTTCAGCTCTGTCAACAGGGCTTAGGAAGGGACTCTAGCCCCTGCGAACATCTGGAGAATCTGGACACCATCTCCATTAACCTGATCCAGCAGATGTTCCCACCACACATATCTATTTCAAGATCTTCATTGGGAGAGGTACCATCTTTCAACTGCTCCAAGTTATGGTCCATTTCCCACCAATTAGTAAAAGAAAGTGTCTGTCTTCATGAATCCTGAAGTATACACACTCAGTGGTCTGTGATATGGTTTGGATATATATCCCATCCAAATCTCAAGCTGAAGTGTGATTCCCAGTGTGGGAGGTGGAACCTGGTGGGTGGTGATTGGATCATGGGACAGATCCTTCATGAATGGCGTAGCACCATCCCCTTGGTGACGAGTGAGTTCTTGGTCAGTTAGTTCATGTGAGATCTGGTTGTCTAAAAAGTCAGTACCTCCTCCCTCTCTCTCTTGCCCCTGCTCTTGCCTTGTCATGACTGTAAACTCCCTGAGACCTGACCAGAAGCTAAGCACATGTTGGTGCCATGTCTGTGCAGCCTGCAGAGCCATGAGCCATTAAACCCCTTTGCTTTATAAATTACCCAGTCTCAGATATTTCTTTATAGCAGCACAAGAAAGACCTAATGCAGTCCGTTGTTAAGGAAGGATAGGATTAGGCACCTCTATGGCAATCCTAGCCAAGTGCCTTTTCAATCTATAAAAAACACTGCTTCTGTGGCACTGCTGACAGCTTCATTCAGTAAATTAGGACATGGTTCACTAATGTGGGTCTTACCACATTACACCATGTTCCTACATCTCCTTCAAAATTATAAAGTTTTCTTTGGCCTGCCTCCTTTCATAAAAATGTCAGACACATCAGATACTTTAGACATTTATTTGGAGTAAAGAGCATCAGAATCTTAGGAAACGGGCCTCTGAAAGGAAGCATTAATGAATGCTTTGATTAATGAACCTGGGAGTTTAGAAATGATACCAAAAAAATATGAAGTTATATATTGTTCTTGCCTTATTTTTTATAGCATAAACCGAAAATGCTGATATTCCTGTGTCCATGTTTAACTTTGCTGCACTTGTTCCTGTTTCATCTCATTTCTGTTTTTCATGTTCAAATTTTGTTTCTCATGACCACAGGCCAGGAATAAAAGGGAAAACAGAAGGCCAAAGAAGATGTAGCTTATTATTAAGAGTCAGTGACTTGGGCTCTTTTCTTGCTGCGTAGACTTGCTTAGAAGCCTCTCGCGTAGACACGCACTCACTCCACAAACTTCCTGTCTTTCTCTCCTCTGTTTCCTTTTTCAGCATTTACACCCTCCCTCATCTCTCTCTACAGATTTTACAATCCAGCCTCTCCCATAATAATCTACAGTTAATGTTTCCTCTGTGGTCCCTGGTAACTTCCTACTCATCAACCCACCGACCTTCCCTTAGCCTTTGTCCTCCTTGACCCTTCCTTAGTTTTAACGACCCCCTAATTTCTTCAAGTCTAATCTTTGCTTGGTTTTTATCTCACAGTTATATCCTCATTCTTCAGCAATCACTCTAATTCTTTTTTCTCTATCTTTTTCACTTGTTTCTATTCTATTTTCATGCCTTCAAATGAGAGCATCCCCCAAGGTCCTGTTTCCTTTTCTCTCCCTTCTTTCCCTCTGTAGTCTCATCCAGTTTCTGTGGCTTTAACTATCATCACCATATAAATGACTCTCACCTTACCCTAAATTACATCTTCATTTCTAACCTCTCTTTAGCTTCATTCTAATATTCTGAATTGCACAATAGAAATGTCTACTTGAAGGTTTCCCTAATATCTCAAGTTTAACAGGTTCAAAACTGAACTCATTCTATTTCCCCTATACTGCTCTTCTTTCTGAATTTGGATTTCTTTTAATGAGTCCACCATCCTCTAAGAAGCCTTGAATCACCTCTAATTCAATCAGTCTTGTTTTTCACACTCTGTATGTAGTCCAAGGCCATTCTAACAACGTTTTCACAGTCTCACTTACTAATCCTCCTTCGTCTTCCCCAGTGCCAGCCCCCTAGTTCAAGCTCCTATTCCCTCACTAGTCCCCCATGTCAATTTTCTCTGCTTTCCACTGCATTCTGTCCAGGGCTACCTATACCAATCTTCCTTACATGCCTAAGTGCTTGTGGCAATCCCTTGCTCTGAAATCTTCAAGATTTTTTTTCTTCTCACCTAACAAAGCAGAAATTCTTTCATTAGCCTTAGGTCCCTCCATGTTCTATAGCCAACTATAGTTAAAGACTCTTGTGGTCTTTAATTATCAATAGTTTCCAATGCAGCCCACAGTGCAAATACAGGACCATAAGCCATTCTCCAAGGATGCTCTGCCTTTTGCTAACACTGAACTTCTGCTCATCAGTTGTCTCTATCAGTCCTGCCAGAAAACCCTAGCTCTCCACCTATTTGCATTTTTAAAAAGTCACTCTAGGCATGCTGAAACTGAAGAGTTTCCTGACCCCCCTTACAGGACCTGTGGCAGGGGTGTGGGTCAAACTCTTACGGGAGGATGAACATACAGACAGACAGGTGCGGGAGTCGGGCCAAGTGCTTTTTGGCTCCGGCCCCACAGTAGTGTCTAGAAGTGGATGCCTGTGACTCCTGAAGCCCCAGTGGGCATCTTACAGTGCTCCTTTATCTCTGCTGTCTGCTGACGGCTTAAGTGTTAACCAGCTCAGTGCCCTCTTGGCACCCAGGTTCTTGTCTGACATACAGGAAGAATCAGGTCACACAGACAAAATGGAGGATAGTAAATGTAGGGGATTTTATTGCCAGGTGGAGGTGGCTCTCAGCTGGATGGATGGGGAGCTAGAAAGGGGATGGAGTAGGAAGATGATCTTCCCCTGGATTTCAGCCATCCTGTGGCCGATCTCTCTGAACTTCCCCAGCCGAATTCCTCTCAATATTCAGATGCTCCTCTTCTCTCCTTCTCTGTTGCACTGCTCTACTGTTCCTCTGCTCTTCTGCTTGTCGGCTCATGGAGCCTGGGGCTTGGGGTTTATATGGGTACAGGATAGAGGGGCATGGTGGGCCAAAAGGCAGCATTTGGGTGTGAAAACAGGAATGCCTGTTTCCATTTAGAGCCATTTACATTACCAGGTTTCCAGGCTTGGGGTGCGAAAACAGGAATGCCTGTACCCATTTAGGGCCACAGGTTTCCAAGCTTGAGGGTGGAGCCTTTGCTGGGGAACTGCCCTCTTCTAACCAGTATTTCCCTGTCTCCTGTCCGTATCAATATGCTAAGTGCCTGTGGGAGAAAAAAAAAATCTTCCTTGAGGGATATAAAAATACTCAATAGATATTTGTTACATAGAATTCAAATGAATACAATTGGACTAAGAAAATATTTTGAACTTGCATATTGAATCACATCAGAGGGATCAAGAAAAAGAAAAAGAAAAAAATGAAGAAGAAAGAGGGTCGTGATAGTGAAAAGGTGTGGGAAAGAGATAGAGTATTAACTTTTATTTGATGAATGTGAAATTTCATCCTTAGCATCTTGGCCCAATAAACAAATGCCTCCTTGATTCTATCTCGTTGGGGAGGCTACCCTGGAAAAGCCTGGAACTCTCTCTAGTGGTTGCAGAGTGTCACAAAAGGCTATGTATCCTCTTAACAACGGAAACAAACATAAATAGCAAGATTCAAATAAGCATATGGAGTGAGCTATCTGCTGTTGAATTTGGTACTTGAGGACTTAAGATTATGTAAGAAAAGGACAGTTGTTCCTTCTTCATATTAAATAATTATACTACATATCTAAATCGGGATTTCTCAAACTTGGCACTGTTGTCATTTTGGGGGAGATAATTGTGGGGGGATTCCCTGTGCATTGTAATGTGTTCAGCTATGTTCCTAGTTTCTACCCACCAGATACCAGTAACATCCTTATTCCTCTTCCCCCCAGCTATGCCAAATAAAAATGTCTCTAGACATTGTCAGATGTCTCCTGGGTAGCAAAATCTAAATTTACATAAAGATACATATGGCTAAAATGCATATAATTTTTGTAAAGCTGTGAATACAGCCATGCTAACATATTTTCCCATGGAAAAGCAACTGGACTCTTTTTTAGGTTCTCATTCCAAAACTCCTCCTGTTTACGTTCCTTTAGGCTAAGCCTCTAATCAATTTGTATTCTATAATATTATGCATAATTCTGTAACATCCATAATAGTTGATGGCTATGAAACAGACAAGACTCACAGACACCATTCAATACCACCTCTTATAATGAATATACAAATATGGAAAGAAAGACCCCAACTATCCAAACTGTGATAACTCTTGACTGGGGACTGGTGAACAATTCAGCCATAAACATCTTCTTATTATGACAGACCAGACAGATGCAAAGAAAAACAAAGAAAAGACATCATGCTAAAAGACATGACTAGAACTAGTTTTCCTTTTGAACAGCCTCTCACATTAACTGTTCTGTGTACCAGAAGTGTCTTTTTTGTTGTGTTTTCATTTTGCCTTTATGCAAACACAATTGCAGGCTACAGATGCACTTAATTATTTTCAATGGTAGTAGCATTATCATTTGTAATACTCTCCTAAGGGGTAGAATGAATCTAAAATGTTAACAAATTTCACATAGAATCATAGAAAGGCAGTAATTGTTCGGGGAAAAGGGCAGCTGTTTCCTCCTCATATCCACCTGCTGAGTGACAGATGATTCGGTGACTGGGTAAAACTTTGAATCTCATATTACAAAATCCCAATCTTACAGGTCACCAAAATCCCTTGGAGAGGTTACTACTTTCATTCAGTTACAGAAAAATAAAGCAAAAAAAAAAAATTTAACTACCATTCTAGGTACCTGTCTATTTTTTAAACAATCAATAGCCACTTTCCCCAGTCTTAGCAGACATAATACTTCTCCTAGCAGACAAATTTCCAGAATTTGAGTCTTAATTTGCTCTTTTTGTATAACTTACCCAAAGAAACCAATCTCAGTTTTGATTAAGGCAATAAAATATGTTTTCGCTATTCAGATAGAAGATTGGTTTAAATAACCCATGGTGGAATGGTCAGTGGCAGCTGTGCTAGTCTGGAAGGTAAGGCTGTTAACATGTACTTTACACAATTACTGTCAGTATTGGATATGTGTCAAAGTTATTTAAACTCAGCTCCCTTATTTAGCATCTATTTATTACAGAGCAAGGCTAATTTATTACTCATGATCTATCCTCCTTACTTATTATTCAGCTTCTTATTTGTGTATAAAGTGATGTAGCTTCAAATCCACATCCTTGGATGTGGAATGGAATGGATGTGGAATGGAATGGAATGGTGTAGCTTGTGAATCCACACAAAGTGATGTTGTGCAGTGCAATAGCAGTGTGCCCGAGGCCTCATTTCATTTTCTACTTTCTGCATTGCTGATTAGTCTACTGGCAACTTTCTAAATTACGGGGTCTGTGAGCTCCTAAGTTATGATGGTTCTTTGGATGTTAATTATCCCCATTCATACACCCTCTTTATTATACATTTGATATACAGTATGTATGGCTCTCCTTTGTATTCTGAGAAAATGCCACTAATGGCAATTCCCAGCTCTGTGGCTGCTGGTGCCAAAAAGAGTGGTATGTGCCTGGTGGCCCCTCTGTCACATGCCGAGGACATTCAGGAGTGGCAACACGCAGCCTGCACAGAGCTATTACAATCGTCTGCGTTTTCTCCTCCATCAAAGCCACCATGTTTATGGTGTTTTAACAAACATTTTATGCTAAGGAAAAGGAAACCAAATGCTTTTTTTCCCTTCAAATTCTATTATGGATTTAGGGGGAAAAAAAGCATTATTGTACATCCTGAACCTGACTTCGATTTTTCTTTCAACCCTGTATTCATTAAAAAGGAAGCAATTGATACCAGTTTCTTTTGAATTCAGGGTTCAGGATAACAGCTTTTATTCTTAAATATAAATACCTTCTTTGACTTCGGTTAATTGATACATTAGAGTGATTGATTTCTTTTATCTTTTTTCTTTCTTTTCTTTTTTTTTTTTTTTTGGTAACAAATTACCCAAAAGGTAGAGTAAGGATACCTATACTTTTCCTTCTGAGTTGACCTTCTCAGATCTTGAGTCACATTAGTTAAGTTATGATGTCTAGGTTGTTTTAAGTTAATTTACTTTTTAATTGACACCAAAAAATTGTATGCATTTATCATATACATGATATTTTGAAATGTATATGTACTGTGAAATGGCTACATTAAGCTCATTAACGTATTATTACATCACAGTGGCCAGTTTGGATTACTTTAAGAGGCATGTGAAAAACATGAAAAGAGTTTGAAGTAGAGAAACAAAGATGTAAAAGCCAACATATTTAAAAGGTTATCATTTATTACACAAATATTACACACAGCACAGTGCTACTGTGCATTTTACCTACTTTGTCTCATTTTAACCCTCCCAACAAACACATAAGTTAGGCATCATTACCCACATTTTATAAGGGCAGGCGCTGAAGATCATTGAGATTTACAAACTCACTTAAGGCCATAGTTTTAAGCAGTGGAGCAGAAATTCAAATAGAGGTCAGAGGTCTCCTTAACTCCAAAGTCTTTTCTATTTTTTTTTAATCCTAGTGTAGAGAAATGTGGATGATGATTTGAGAATGACCTTTAAATATAAAGTGTGTTATTTTGTAAAAGTCTGCAACTACATATTCTTTTTATTCCTGGGAATAGAAGAAGAGAAATAAAAAGAATGAATCTATTTGTAGCATGAAAAATTTGAGTTGGTTATAAGAAGTAGTTTCCTGATAAAAGTTGTATGTAAAACTGTTCTTGCCTTGAAATGGAGAAGTCCAAGCAGAATAGATTCCACATTGTGCCTTAAATTGTAGCATAAGTCCACATTTACCAGTATTTAGTGCAGAGATGAAAGCCTAATCTAGTAATCTATTGCTGTGTAACAAACTATCCCAAAACTTTGTGGCATAAGACAACAACCATATTATTACGCTCGTGGTTCTCTGTGCCTGGAATTTGGGCATAGTACAGCTGTGAAGACTTGTCTTTACTTCCTGATGTCTGAGGCCTCAGCCAGGGTGGCTTGAATGTCTGGGGATGGGCAGAATGGCTCATTTGAGGTAATGTTTCTAGGGCTTCTTTCTGGCTGTTGGCTGAGTTCCTTGGATCTTCTCCACATACTGTCTTTGGGGACTGAAATGGGCGAGATGGCTCCTTACTCACATGTTTGTCCTCTCGGCTGTGATGACTGGACCAGTTGAAGGCTGCCAGTCATCTCTTACTCTTTCTCTTATTCTTTGCATAGCCTCATCGTGTGGGTATCTTGGGCATCTTCACAGCATGTAGATATCAGAGTAGTTGAACTTGTTACATAGTGACTGACTGCCAGCAAGCATTCCAATAGAGCAAGGTGGAAGCCTTAGTGATTCCAGTAACCTAGTCTCAATAGTCACACAGTGTCATTTCCATTGCATTCTTTTGGTCACACAGATGAGCCCAGATGCAGTGTGAAAGGGGCCTAGATAGGGAAGACATGGATTATTGCAGGCTATTTTTGGAGACTAGATACAACAAACCACATAGAGTTCTAGGGTTGAAAGACAAACAAGCAGCTGGTTAAACATGCTCCACACATAAACCATTTATCTAAGGGAGAAAAAAGAATATGCTAGAAATAGACAAATAGTCTTCTTGGCCACCAAGGACAGTTTTGTATATGGATTAAAGGTAATGTGCCCCCATAATGTTCTAACGTCTCCCTAGGCAGGAAAAATGTCAGAAGTCTCAAGTGAATTACATATTAATAATTTGTATTTTCCCATATATATGGGTAAAAATTGCTTAGGGCTATAACTTGTAGCTTTCAATTTGCATCTTCATTGCACCAGGGAAGGCTGCTGTGTGACACATATGTTTGACTATCCTAGCTGAAAACAAAGTAGTCTGGGTTTAATTCTATTGGCAAGAGATCAGCTTTCCATAATTTTAGCCTAGTGAATTGTTATGGGCTATAATTCAAATGTAATGATCTGACTCATTGAAATGATAAGATTCCCAGCTTTAGGCAGGCATATTGTTCCTCCTCATAAGAAAGTCAATTATTTTAGACATCAGGTACCCCCTCAACTTTTCTTTAAATAGAAGACAGACACTGTTAACTGTCCTAACTAGGGCAAATGTTTGAGTCACCAGAGCTTATGCGAACATGTGTAGTTCCGTATTTGAATCTAGTGAGCCCATTGCTAATGATGGCATACAGTTCAGAGATTTCACTGTTGACAAAGACTATATGTTCCCCTAGTAGTTTTCTGTATAATGTTCTGTTTACTGTATATTCAGCTGAGGATTTGAACACCTTCACCTGGAGCAAAATATTCTGTCCACAGCCTGTTTTATGTGATGTGCTGTACGAAATAGATTAATGTTTCTAAAGTACATGAGAAGTGAACTCTCTCACTAAGACAGCCTAGAATTAAGTAACTTTGCTGCTAAGTCATACAATATCTTAGCCTGTCTGTGGAGACGAGGAGAGAATTTCATTGAGTCTCATAATAAACAAAACAAATAAAAAGCTAAGGCTAATTTTAAAGCATAACCAAATACCTTCTGTGCAAAGATAGACTATGAATAATGACTTTGTTTTCTTCTATTTATTCATGGTCAGGAAGGACATATTTTCCTTCCTTACTATCATCTTGCTGTCAAACTTCTTGAGGTTAACTTGGTTATATAGTCTTTTACTTGGAAAGGAGAGTAGTTAAATCTGACCAATTTAATTGATCAGAAAATACTGAAACAACAGGACACGTTCCTATAGTGGTTTGCTTCCTTATCCCTCTGTTTTGACTATTCAAGACCAAAGATATGCAGAGTTCAATGGGGGTAGTGGTTAAGAGAACACATCCTTAAAAATTATTCATCAAGATGAGATTGTGGATCTACTGCATAGTAAAATACAACTTTGGCAAGTTACTTAATCTGTCTTAGCTTCAGTTCCTTCTTTGTGAAAAAAAAAAAAAAAAGAATTGGTGCATGATAACAACATTATATACTTCCTTAGATAGCAGTGAAGTTTAAATGGTATGATTCATTCAAGAATTTAACACAATTCCTGTTATAAAAGCACTGAATAAGTATGAGCTCTTTCTAAAACCATTAGCATATTTTTTCTTACCTATAAATGAACTGTGAGTCTTATTACTCAAATTTATAATCACTAGACTAAACTGAAAATCGAGGGGATGAAAGTCACAATCCAGGTGTGTCATAAAGTAAATTATGTTAGAGTATTTTCAGATGATCCAGGTCTGATTTTTTTTGCTTAATAAAATAGTATGGGCAATTAGTGGAATTTGGTTCCTTTATTGATTTCCTGCACACTCTTATACTTAAAAATGTGACTTTCAAGTTCCCTGTGGAATCAGCAACACAAATTCCAGTGGTGGCCAGTTCAATTTCATGCCACTACAGAGTAAACTTAAGATAAACTGGATAATGGGAGTATAGGTGGAGAAACATCTAGGTGACCACAACTGTATATCCTGAATAATTAAACTGTATTGTAAAATAAAATGTTATTTCTTGGTTTTCTTGAAAGAGCAGTGTGGGAATGAAATTATTTATGTATTTTTCAACTACAGTCCATATCTTAGGGTTTTTTGAGTTGTTTTAATGAAAATTTATATAAAGCATAGCTCTTTTTATGTAGCTTATATAGCGATTCATATATAAAGTGTAGCTATCCTTTTCAGTTAATGGCAACATAATACAATATTGACAAAGGTGCAGTAGGGTGAAACTTTATGTTTCAAGTAGTACATTCATGAGCTTATAAGACAATGGGGTTTAAACACTCTTAGCCACAGAAGTAAGGAAAATAAGGGGAAAAGACCTTCAAACCTTCATGTGCTTCAGACTGACAAGGCCTCTAAATAACTAGAGTGGCCCAAAACAGTGCATTTTCATCTTTCACTTAACCAAAGCCAGTACTCATTTTCTAGAGCTTGGTTCTGAAGCATCACCAAGGTCCAAAGAAAGATTATTCTGTACTAGTATGACGAGGTAGACAGGTGATAAATAAGAAATGGAGATTTATTTTGCCTCTGGCTGTTTCAAAGAGGGTTCTCTTCATTCAAATATCCCGAGAGAGGGCTTTCTGTTTGATCCCTGTGTGTTACACACACACACACACACACACACACACACACACACATCTATATAGTAGGTGTGTGTGTGTACATATAAAAAAAAATAGATATTTAAAGTACAAGTACTAGAAACAGGAGAATGTGTTTCCACCTTATCCTGGGTGTTACCTTTTCATTGCCAGCAAAGCTTTCACAAGGGAGAAAACACTGTGTTCTGTGGAGTGTGCTTGTCATTGACAATCTCATCACCCCTGGATACTTCAAAAAGTTATGTCAGATCTTCACTGTCTACAAGGGTTTTGCTTTCATGATTCATACCTGGCCCTTTCACTGCTTGCCTTTCAGGTCAAAAGCCAGAAAGTCAGCCTCTCCAGAAGTCTGATTAGCACTTGAACTTCAGGAGATTTATGGCCACAAGGCTTGATTTTTAAAGCAGTTTTATCCAAGTACAGATCATTTATTCTGTGGACAGTGGTATTTATCTTCCACCTTTTCCATACATTTTATGCCAAAAATATACAGCTTAGCTATTCTTTTTGTTGTTGTTGATAATACATTTATTTGAGAATGTTAATGCCGTCATCCTCAAGTGGCGTATATCATCAGTTTAATCAGTTTAATGTGAATTTTTAAAAAATCTCTAACATTTTATACAAAATTAGAGAATCCTGACAATATACCAATTATGCTCTGAGTTTATGACCTGGGTTTTAGAACTTGGGATCTACTATTTGCCCTACATTTATTATGTCTACTATAAAACAAGCAGTTTTTTCAAGTACAGAAATTACAATGGGAATTAGACCTTCTTGCCCTGAAGGAGTTCAGGGTCTAGTTCAGCACTGTCCCATAGAAATATAATGTAGGCCATATACATAATTTTAAAATGTCTAATAGCCCCATTAAACAAAGTAAAAAAAAACAGATTAAATTAATTTAAATAATGTATTTTTAATTCAATGTATTTAAAAGAAAGAAGGAGGGAAGGAAAGAGGAACAGAGAGGAAGAAAGACAGAGAGAAAAAGGAAGAAAAGAAAAGAAGAGAAGAGAAAAGAAAATAACAGAAAAGTAAAGAAATAAAAGAAAATTTAAACAAAAAAGGTATAGTTTGGCGAGTATGGCACAATCTTGATCATTGTCAAATACTGACAGTAAGTTTACGGAGATTCATTGTACCACTTTCTCCTTTTGTTGATGTTTTCAAACTTTTTAATTAAAAAAATAAATTTAAAAAAAAATGCCAAGACAAAACACACACTGCTTTGGCCCAGAGATTCTATTCTAATTCATTTGGGAAAGTTCCTAGGGACTGGAGCATTGCTATTTTTAAAAGCTGCTGGGATCATTCTGTTATATAGCCACTGTTAACAGGTATAAGCAGGTACTTATGCTAACAGGACAGGAGTCTGGAGAGGAAGGTTTTTAAAGGTTATTGGAAACGAAAGGTTTTTTTTTTTTTGTAGACAGAGTCTCACTCTGTCACCCATGCTGGAGTGCAGTGGTGCAATCTCGGCTCACTGCAGCCTCTGCCTCCCAGGTTCAAGTGATTCTCCTGCTTCAGCCTCCCGAGTAGCTGGGACTACAGGCACCCGCCACCACACCTGGCTAATTTTGTATTTTTTTATTTTTGGGGGTTTCACCATGTTGGCCAGGCTGGTCTCAAACTCCTGACCTCAAGTGATCCACCCACCACGGCCTCCCAATATTCTGGGATTGCAGGGATGAGCCATCACACCCAGCCTGAAACCAAGGGTTTTACAATACAGTACAATATGACTGTACACACATATTACCAAAAAAACCACTCTAGCAGGGCATGGAGAATAGATGACTGATGGGCAGATTGGAAGCAGGGAAGTCACTTTAGGAGACTGGGAAGAAATGACAAAAGTCTGAACTCACACAAAGAATGGACAGATTTAAGATGGGCACAGAGTATATAAGTCCATTTGTGGACTAGTATAAAGAAATTCCAGAGACTGGGTAATTTATAAAGAAAAGTGGTTTAATTGGTTCACAATTCTATGGGCTGTACAGGAAGCATGATGCTGGCATCTAGTTGGCTTCTGGGGAGGCCTCAGGAAACTTACAATCATGGTGGAAGGTGAAAGGAAAGCAAGCAGATCTTTTATGGCTGGAGCAATGTGGGTGGAGAGGTGCTATACACTTTTAAACAACCAGATCTCGCAAGCGCTCACTCACTATCACTAGGGCAGCACCAAAGGTATGGTGCTAGCCCATTCAAGAGAACTCAGCTCCAGCGATCCAGTCACCTCCCACCAGGCCCCACCTCTAACACTGGGGATTACAATTCAGTATGAGATTTGATGGGGACACAAATCCAAACCGTATCAGTATAATAACCATCTATGAGGTAAAACATAATGAAATTGTTCAGATTTGCAGTGAAGGTGGGAGACTGGTGATCAGAAACCAGAGGAAGGAGATTTTCATGACAACTGGATTTGGGCAGTTGGATAAAGGGGTGGAGGTACCATTCATTAAAATAGAAAATACAGGCAGATTTTCAGGGAGCAAAGAGGGAAGGCATGGATTCGGTTCCAAATAGCATAGTTAGAGGCCACAGGGGAAATACCATACACAGGCAAAAAAAAAAAAAAAAAAATTGTAAAAGATCAGAAGGTGGGCCAGGCGTAGTGGCTCACGCTCACGCATGTAATCCCAGCACTTTGGGAGGCCAAGGCGGGTGTATCACCTGAGGTCAGGAGTTTGAGACCAGCCTGACCAACATGGCGAAACCCCGTCTCTACTAAAAATATAAAACTTAGCTGGACGTGGTGGCGGGCACCTGTAATCCCAGCTAGTCAGAAGGCTGAGGCGGAAGAGTCACTTGAACCTGAGAAGCAGAGGTTGCAGTGAGCCAAGATCGCGCCACTGCACTCCAGCCTGGGAGACAGAGCAAGACTCTGTCTCAGAAAAAAAAAAAAAAAAAAAAAAAGATCAGGAGGCATTTAGAGTAAGCAGACACAGTGCTCAATGGTTTCTTCTGTGTTGTCTCTGGAATCTTCACTGTAGCCCTCTGAGACAGCTTCTATAATTATGTCCATCTGACTTAAAGTAGTTGAGTAAGTTGCTGAGGAGCACACAGCTAGTAGTTGCGGGATAGAGGACTTGGAGCTACAGCTGTCCAACTCCAAAGCCTTAATCATCATGTTATAGAGCCATCATAAACATACTTCAGATAAAAATACCTTTGCATAATGAGAACATTTTTACTGAACATGATATTACTTCATTCAAGGATTTATTCATGCCTTTGTCAGTATTTTAATTGTCTGGCGAACAGGACACATAGGTCAGATTAATCTGCTGCTTAATCATAATGCTAAAAAGAGTGCTGATTGCAAGGCTAAATTTTGTTACTTAGATTTTTTTCAAATAAATTTTGTGCAGATGGATTTTCCCAAAAGTTTAAAAATGAATAGGCTAGTCAAAATAATTAGCACCGATGGTAACACAGCTGCTTAAGGACACTGGTCTGCAGTAAAAGAATATTTGTTCTATTTTCTCTCTCCAAATCTCCAAGAATCGCTATTCTAGATTGATGTGGAAATCACCAGAATCCTCTCCTCGGGTGTCACTAACAATTGAAATTAAAAAAAGGAAGATTGCCATTAGCATTACTTTTTTACAAGTATTTTTCTACCTAGAAACAAATGTCTGTTTCCAGATGTCCTTCCAAAAGAGTGTTATCTATGTTCTACATCTTCAAGTAGTCAAAATTAAATAAATATTATATTATATCTGAGTGTTGGGAAAATAAATGAAACATCTCATGGTAGGTGGGAAAAACCCAGATTTTGCAGTAAAATGGCCCTAGTTTTAAATCTTTGTTCCACCCTTCCTGGCTCTGGGACCGTGAGCCCAGTTACTTAAAGTTTCTGGTTTGCAGTCACCTAATCGTGGACATAGGAATCAGAAATCCTGACAGAACTGTGATGAAATTTGGCCACACCCTGTATTTATTTTCTAGGGCCACTGTAACAAATGACCATAAACTTAAACTAATGGCTTAAAACAAAACAAATGTATTTTCTTTGAGTTTAGGTCTGAAGTCCAAAATGAGTCTTATTGGGCTAAAGTCAAGGTGTTAACAGGGCTGTTTTTTTGTTTTGTTTTGTTCTTTTTTTTTTTTTTTTTTTTCTGGAGTTTCTAAAGGAGAATTGGTTTTCTTGCATTTCACAGCTTCTGGAGGCCACTTACAATCCTTGACTCATGGCCGCTTCCTCTCATCAATCTTTCCTCTTGCTTCTGTTGTCGTATCTCCTACTAGAAGGCACTCAGTGCACTTTTGTACATGGTACAGGGAGGCAGTTAATATAGAGCAGTGGTTCTCAGCCAGAAGTGATTTTCTTCCCCAGGGGCCATTTAGAAATGTCTGGAGACATTTTTGGGTTGTGCTTTACACCTTTGCATGGAGGTCCTACTGGCGTCTACTTAGTAGAGGCCAAGAATTCTGCCAAACATTCTACAATGCTGGGATAGGCTCCTACAACAGAGAATTACCCACCCCTAAGTGACAATAGTTTCAAGGTTGAGAAACTCTGACATAAATGTTAGGATTACTCACCCCAGAATCCAACTGCCTAGCTTTAAACCAGGCTCTACTACTCATTAAAGTGGCCTCGGACAGGTCATGCCATCTCTCTGGGCCTCAGAGTTTCTTTTGCTTCCATTTTTTTTTTCCATCTGGAAATAGGAATAATAATAGTAATTATCATATCAGACTATTGTGAGAATTAAAACCCTTAGAAGAATGGTTGTATATAAAAGTATATAAAATCCTTAGAAGAATGGTTGGCATATATTCAATAATGTTAGTTCTTGTTAGTACTGTTATTGTCACTCAGCAAATAGTAATTAATTTTGTCTGTGCCTTTCCAAATGCCTTTCAAAATATAAACTTTCTTAGTGTTTTGTAAGTAGAGTATGTTTAAATCCAATAGTAGACCAAATTATTTTACCAACTATTGTTTAGAAAATCAACATTTTTGCAGAATTTTAATGCCAGCTAATGAGACATCTAAACCGCAGCCCCTTCCATGGAGTCTGTCTTCTTTCATAAAATTTCGCTTGGGCCTCAGAAAAGGGTTTTCAAGGAAATAGCTTCACATCCCACACACGTATCTCAGGTAATCAAACAATGGCAACACCACTTAGCTCAATGCACTTCTGGCTATCATAATATTCCCTGTGACTTTGGTGGATACATGTAAATTAAGAAGCTATTCAAGTCACTAGTTTCGCCATGGTGAGATGTATTTGTGTGTGTGTGTGTGAACACACTGGTGTGGTTTTTAGAAAATATACATACAAGGTTATCCCATAGCCTTGTGCTATTCAGTATGATAGCCATTCGCCACATGTAGTTATTGATCACTTGAAATATGGCCGTTTTGAATGGAGATGAGCTGCTAAGTATAAGTTATAGACCAAATTCTGAAGACTTAGTATGGAAAAAAGAATATAAGGTATCTCAATATTTTTCTCTTGATTACATATTGAAATGATAATATTTTGAATATATAGAGTTGAATAAAATGTATTATTAAAATTAAAGTCACCTATTTTTTTCCTCTTCTTTCATTTTCATTTATTGAGGTAAAATCCCCTTAAGTAAAACTGACCACTTGACACTATACAATTCTATGGCATTCAGTACATTTTCAGTGTTGCAACCACCACCTCTACCTAGTCTGAAAGATTTTCATCGCTGCAACAGGGAAATGCATTTCATTGAGCAGTCACTCCCCTTCCCCTTATCCCAACCAGCCTGGAACAATGATCAGTCTGCTTTCTGTCTTTGTGAATTTCCATCATCTGAATGTTTTATATATATTTAAGGATGTAATATGTGACCATAGTGTCTGACTTTGTGAATTTCCATCATCTGAATGTTTTATATAAATTTAAGGATACAATATGTGACCATAGTGTCTGACTTTGTGAATTTCCATCATCTGAATGTTTTATATAAATTTAAGGATACAATATGTGACCATAGTGTCTGACTTTGTGAATTTCCATCATCTGAATGTTTTATATAAATTTAAGGATACAATATGTGACCATAGTGTCTGACTTTGTTCACTAAGCTTCATATTTTTTACATTGTAGCACTTATCAGTATTTCATTCCTCTTTATGGGTGAATAATATTCCAACATATGGACATACTACATTAGTTGGTGGAAATCTGCAGTGTTTTTACCTTTTACTTGTTAATACGGCCTCTATGAACACTTGTGTACATGTGTTGTTGCTGGTTTTTTTAATTTTAGGTTTGGGTGGTACATTTGCATGTTTGTTACATGGGTATATTACGTAATGATAAGGATTGAACTTCAAGAGTACCCATCACCCCAATATAGAACATTGTACCCAAAAGATAATTTTTCAACCCTTGGCCCCCTCCCATCCTCCCCACTTTTGGAGTTCCCATTGTCTATTATTTCCATCTTTATATAGGTACTTATTGTTGAGTTCCCACTTGTAAATGAGAACATGAAATATTTGATTTTCTGTTACTCAATTCACTTAAGATAATGGCCTTCAGCTCCATCAGTGTTGCTCAAAGGACATGCTTTTATTCTTTTTTATGGCTGCATGATATTCCATGGTATATATGTACCACATTTTCTTAATCAATCATGATGGTCACTTAGGTTGGTTCCATGACTTTGCTATTGTGAATAGTGCTGTGATGAACATATGAGTGCAGGAAATTTTGCCTATTCCTTTTTAATTTTTTAATATGAAGCTATTATAAAGTTTAAAATTACATACGCAATTCACATTATATTTCTGTTGGAGAGCACTATTCTAAACTTTGCTCTGTTTTGACATTCTGAGGCAGACTGTGAAGCAGCCTGTCTTAAATGAACAGAGCATGCCAACATATATAAGAAGAATTACAAAGAAATGAATATAAAGACATTTCATACCCCTCAGGCAGTGTTTATCAAAGGTAGTTCTTGGACCATCTGCTTCAGTCACTTGTGGTGCTTGTGAAGAATGCAGATTCCTGGGTTCCATTCCAGCTGTAACTATGCAGAATCTCTGTGCCCAGGGCTCTGGATTTTTATCAGATTCCCTCTTGATGTTCATTTGCATTAAATTTTGAGAATCGATGATAAACTTAACAATATTAAAGGAAGAAAAAAGATCAGACAACAATGATACACAGACACAAACAACAGTAAAATACCTAATGTAATATACATGATATCACTCACCACTATACATAAGAACCAAAACATTGGGCGTCAGTGAGTGTTATATTTGGATTGTAGAGAAACAATATCATTCAATGTTGCAATATCATTTACTTCCATATTATGTCATAATACTTGGTAGCTTTCTGACATGACAAGTCATTTTATTCAGAAGATAAAATGGAATTTAGCCATCTCTGTGTTTACCCTAAGTCATCTATGTACCAATCTGCAAGAAAATATTAGTTAAATGTTAGCAGAAAATGCCAGTTGTGAAGTGTCCCTTTGAAAACATAAATTTTCTTGGGGGAAGGGGAATGTGTGTGCGGGCATGTGTGTGTGTGTGTATAAACATACACATCTATATGCATACACATCTATATACATATGTGTATATATTACTTTATTATTGAATTAGCTAAATAAACTCCATGTTAGAAATTCAAAGAAATCATTTGTGTGATAAATAAGGTTGCTTATTACTGAGCAACTATGATTATAGCAGTTTTATGAAATTTTAATTACATTATGCACCTACTCAAATATTGGTTTTGAACATTAATCGAGTTACCTGAGAAACATTTCATGGAATGGGAAATAAAAATGAAATGGCTTATTTACTTATCCCAATGCATTAAAGATGAAACTCAGTAGGGAAACTCGTAAGAAAAAATGAGAGACCTACTCAGAAATCTCATTCAATGCAAACCACGGGTGGATTTTCAGATTCTATAAATTATCTTCAGTGATTGAATAACATGTAGTTATGCTGACGAGACTATGCTTAAAATGCAATATGTATGACCTAGATGTATGTTATGGCCTCCTACTTCTTGCAGCATCCTAAATTTAGAAACCCATCAGATATTTTGTGGTTACTAGGTGGACGAAATGCCTCTTAATTCCGTTCAAAGCCAGTGCTATTTGTCAAGTCCAGCACCCGATAGAAAGAATGGGCAATAAGGTAGTAGAGAAAGCAGAAGGAGAAGCAGAGAGAAAGGAAGGCATTTGCCTTGGTTAGCCAGAGACTGACACTGAATTGATGTGACAGCTCCACATTGGGCTATTGCATATGTTTTCTGTCCCAGTGATTTCTTTCCTGTTACGAATTACATGGGATGGTGACTTTGCTAAAACCTAGATGTCAAACTGTTGTACACTTCATATATACTTATTTTTAAATTATTCTCCAAAATATCCAAGATTCAAGTTAGTAGCCCAGGTTGAAAAGAAAATTTCAAGGGATAGCCAAGTGTTCATTTTATACAAGAACAGCCTTTAAACACGCACAGTCAGCTGTATAGTGGCAGTGGACTTTTGTCAGTTTTCAAATTAGTCATATCATTAGACACATGGAGGAATGTCTTCTGGGACATAACTGGGACATATCTGAATTAGCTCTATATTTATCTACAGTCAGAAATTATAACCTTAAAAATACATTCAGAGAAGTTTACACCTACATGTAGTACTTTCAAAAGTTGAGCAATCTTTGTATAATATAATATTACTTCTTATTTTATTTTATTTTTTGACATGGAGTCTCGCTCTGTTGCCCAGGCTGGAGTGCAGTGACTTCATCTCGGCTCACTGCAACCTCTGCCTCCCGGATTCAAGCGATTCTCCTGCCTCATCCTCCTGAGTATCTGGGGTTACAGGCATGTGCCACTGTGCTTGGCTAATTTTTGTATTGTTAGTAGAGATGGGGTTTCACCATGTTGGCCAGGCTGGTCTCGAGCTCCTGACCCCAAGTGATCCTTCTGCCTTGGCCTCCCAAAGTGCTGGGATTACAGGCATGAGCACCACGCCTGGCTATTACTACCTTTTAGTATAATTTATAAGAAAGAGTAATTGATAGAAATGCTTCCAGAAATAAATACTAAACAATTTCCAATAAACCACTTTTAATTTTTAAATACAGAATTGCCTTACTTAAAAAAGAAATTATAATACCCTTAATTAGTTTGACCCTTAATTAGTTGACCAAAAATATCTCTTATGATCTTAATATTGGGAGCAACTCTTTAAGACAGTTTTCTTGGCAATGCAAGTTTATTCTAAATGCTGATGAATACTGTAATACCTTTAAAAAATTAGTAGCAAATATAGCCAATTTTTCCTGATAATAGTCAAACAAAAAACTCTGGAACAGAAGCAAACCTAATTTGATGCTGAATTCACAAATGAATTCATTTTTAAATGTTAACTCTAGTCCATAAATAATGTACTTAAGCATTAAAGCCTAAAATATTACTTAAATTCAACTAGTTTGATTTCAATTTAATTTGAACTTCAATGATTCTTTCTTAATTTGTAGAATTAAGGCTGAAATGCTAGAGTGGGCTATTTCATAAATTAATATTCATAGATTCTTAAGGCTTTAGAGACCCTACCATGTTATTCTAACAATTAATTGTTTAAAAAGAGAAAATCAGATATATTGGGATAGCTGAAAAATGGTATGAAGAATACAAAATTTCAATGGCCAAGATTTTTCGGACACAATAAAAAGACACAAATAAAAGAGAGAAATTTAGAAAGACAACAGAAAATTGAATGACAAAGAAAATCTTCCTTGATGTTCTAAGAGCTTTTGGAGGTTATAAAGGTGACAGATTCTAAATTAGAAGCATTCAACTCACACCTTGAAAGAATTGGAACAGGATTTTCTTGCAGGAAAAGAAGAAACTTCAGGACTTATGAAAAGGGATCTTGCTGTTGAGTCCTAACCGAGTTGTAATTAAAAATGAAGGTGCAGGGCTGGGCACGGTGGCTCACGCCTGTAATCCCAGCACTTTGGGAGGCTGAGGTGGGCGGATCACAAAGTCAAGAGATGGAGACCATCCGGGCCAACACGGTGAAACCCCGTCTCTACTAAAAATACAAAATTTAGCTGTGCGTGGTGACACGTGCCTGTAGTCCCACCTACTCGGGAGGCTGAGGCAGGAAAATCGCTTGAACCCAGGAGGTGGAGGCTGCAGTGAGCCCAGATCGTGCCACTGCACTCTGGCCTGCTGACGGAGACGCTGTGTCAAAAAAAATAAAAAATAAATAAATAAATAAAATAATATAAAATAAACAGAAAAAATGAAGGAGCAATTGAGCAGTTGAACATGTCTGAAAACATTAGATTCTATATGTATTGGACATGCCTGAATAGTTTAGATTGTCAAAAAAGAGAAATTCTTCTTTAATGTTTTGAGAAAAATATTTGCCACATGTGTGTTGGGAATAAGGAAAAAAATATAAAATTATTTAATATAAAACTAGACGTAAACCTAGGAGGCGGAGCTTGCAGTGAGCCGAGATGCGCCACTGCACTCCAGCCTGGGCGACAGAGCAAGACTCTGTCTCAAATAATAATAATAATAATGATAATAATAAATAAAAATAGAATTTTGGCAGCCTGTATTATATCTCACTTGTTTGCATTTATATAGGAGAAGAAAATGCCTTCTTTATTCAAAGAAAGGCTTAGAGTTACGTTTTTTTTCAATTATTTATCTCAGTTCATATTAGCTGAAATGACAGATGAGCCACAGAAAAGCAATAACACTAAAATTTTTTTTGAGATGGGGGTCACACTATGTTGCCCAGGCTGGTCTTGAGCTCCTCAGCTCAAAGAATCCTACGATTTCAGTCTCCCAAAGTGCTAGGATTACAGGCATGAGCCACTGCACCTAACCATAACACCAACATTTTAAGGGCACTAAACACTCTTTCTTTTTTTTAAATAACTATTTAATGAGCAGATATATCCTGTTAAGTGTATTATATACATTATCA
This sequence comes from Homo sapiens, assembly GCF_000001405.40. Taxonomy (NCBI): domain Eukaryota; kingdom Metazoa; phylum Chordata; class Mammalia; order Primates; family Hominidae; genus Homo; species Homo sapiens. The sequence goes on from NC_000013.11 coordinate 93,939,850, forward strand.
TATTTAATCTCCACAAAATCTAAAAGCTTTTTTTCAGACAGGGAAACCAAGGCACAGAGGCAAAAAGTTACCTAATAGAACTCATCTAGATAAATGTCATAGCTGTGATTATTCTGGATGCTAATTTTAATTTTCTTTTTTATGTAGATTAAGTTATATGCATAACTTATTATGAAAAATAGTTGAAAGAAAATAAGTCTTTAATCCTTATTCTGAGCTCCCAAAGCACTTTATTTCAACCTGTTTTGAACCTTATTTTCTACCTTGCATCATTATTATTTGTACACTTTTCTTACATCCTTGTTAGACTTTAAAATTCTCCTTAGTAATTATTAGTTTCTTGACTTTGTTCCTTTTAATGCACTGTTTTTAATTTAATAGAAGCCATTACTTTTTTATAACTATGAAAATTAGGGCTATTAAGTTGCCTTCACTATGTTCTCTAGAATTTTGTAAAGTTAGTAAAAGAGAAAACCTCTTCTTTATAACCTCTACAGAGAAGGTACTAGATCTAGTGTGGCAGAAAGGATGGAAGGATGGACGGTTGGATGAATGGATGGATGAATGGATGGATGGATGGATGGATGGATGGATGGATGAATGGATGAATATCAGACATAATGGATGAATATTAGACATAATAAATCACATCTCAACTGATTAAGTCCTCTAGGTATAAATACCAGGTACAAGAAATAAATGGCACAAAAAAGGAGTGAGTGAAGGAACTGTTATAGATTTAAAGAGACCCAATAGATACACCAAACAAATGGAATGTGTGAACGTTGTTTGTATCCTGTAAAATCCTTGATTTGAACAAGTGAACTGTAAAAGTATACTTATGAGACAAAGGATAATTAATGAGAATATTGAGAGTCCGTTTTAACTTCTAGGTAGAATAAAAGTGTTGTGATTTATATTTTTTTGAAGAGTCCTTATCTCATCGACATACATTAAAATATTTATGGAGGAAATAAGAAGATGCCTGAGATTTGCTTTAAAATAATTGTTCATGGCGGGAGGGGTGGAGAATAGGAAAAGATGAATGACTTTATATTAATAATTGCTGAAGCTGAATGATAGCTGTACATTCTCCCTTTTTTCTCTAGGTGTTTGTAATTTTCTAAAATCAGAAGTTAACATCAAAAAAGTTTTTGGCACATAATTGGTATTTCTTTAAGTTAACAATTTCCTTTCCTTCTCATAAAACTTAATCATTAAATATGGGCAACAGGCTTTAAAAGATGTGCTCCACCATAAATGTCTGTCATACTTGCTATGATGAACCCATGAGTATTTAAGACAGCCTATAGAAAACTTTTGTTCTATCCAGTAATAAAAAAAACCCTTGAGCAGCAACATAAAATAGAAATCTTGATCTTTAAATTGAATTGTATAATGAGTAAATAGAAGCTGAAAAGTATATTATAAAGTCACTGGCTAGTGGATGCAGCAGATTTTTTTTCTCATTAGTAAAATGCTGTGCATGGTACAAGTGACTGATAATGTGAGTTGATCTATGATATCCCTTATAACTCAAAAATTCACTGATATTTCAGATCCACTAGCCCACCATATAAATTCATCAGAGGATGGCAATTGTGGCATGTGATTAAGCAGCAAGCCAATTGTGTGACATGTTGACAGTGGCAGTGCAGTACGTACTGCTCCCAAGATAAACTTTGGCACTCTAGTCAGTAGATTTTATTTATATTTTCAAAAGCTTGTATAAAACATGAAATAGTCGAGTGACTTGTGAAGCAGTCAAGATATCAACTTCTTCCACATGAATGAACCAAGACACACATTTGTGGAGATTCTTTGACTGTCTTTAGAGAAAGATGATATGCCAATCATCCCAACACTAATAAGACTATACAAGAAATAGTATATCTATCAAAATAGACACTTATATAGACTTATTTTGTAGGACATTGTCTCAAGTCTCCAGGGCATTATCCTAGAGAAAAGGCATTATATCCTTAGCTTGGGTAGTATCCAGGACCTGAAAAAGTATATTTAAATTGGTCTTTTAAAATATACGTAACTTTCCTATGGTGCAAAACGAGGATAATATCAATTTTGACTCTTATTATTTGTAGTCTTTCTTTAGAGGTACCTGGTATACAGAAATCTCTCACAACACCAGCTGCGTTGGTCCAGCCTTATGTAGGGAAGGTATTTCCAGTTTTTAAGAGAATTCCTAAGTTCAGGCTGGCATGCAATTTTTACTACATAAGAAAAATTTTATCTAAACATGAACCCAATCTACTGCCCTAATTCATGGTAGTAGAAAACATTTCACACAAAGAGTAATATGCTAACTGAATTAGTCATCTATTACTTCATAACAGATTACTTTGAAACTTAGCAGCTTAAAGCAACACACATCTATTTTCTGAAGGGTTCTGTGAGTCAGGAGTCTGGGTAAAACTTAGCTTCGAGCCTTGCCTCAGGACATCTCACAACATAGCAGTCAAGCGTCATCTAGCCAAGGTGTCACTCTGTCACCCAGGCTGGAGTGTAGTGGTACAAACATGGCTCACTGCAGACTCGAACTCCCAGGCTTTGGTGATCCTCCCACCTCAGCCTCCTGAGGAGTTGGGACTACAGGCACCTGCCACCATGCCTGGCTAATTTTTTTGTGTTTTTTGTAGGGACAGGTTTTTGCCATGTTGACCAGGTTGGTCTCAAACTCCTGGGCTCAAGCAATCCACCCACCTCGGCCTCCCAAAGGAGTGGGATTACAGGCATGAGCCAGTGCACCCGGCCCACAGTGTCTTTTAATCTGATCATGAAAGTGGCATTTCATCACTGTTGCCATAGTCTATTCATTAGAAGCCAGTCCAGCTCATTCTCAAGAGGAGGGATTACACAGGGAGGGGTACGAGTGCCAGAAGCTGGAGCTCTTTAGGGATCTACATACTGCCAACTACACTAATAGTACATTCAAACTTCTTGAAAAATGTTACATGAAATTAGCAGTATAGTGATATAAATAGATTCAGATGCTAATGGAAGGCTATTCTGTTGCTCAGATTTTTCTCTAGTTCATTCTGCTCCCTCAGTTGGGATGGCCTTGCTCCATTCCATTTGTCCAAGGTGCACAAATATCTACCTCTCTTTGCAAACTCAACTCAAGCATATGGCCTCTATGAGATGGATCTGACCTCTCTGCCTTCATGGTACCCCCATAAGGCTCTGCTGCAGGCTTTTCAATAGCACTTTATTGCACGTATCCTCAGTGTCTTTCCATTCAGCTAACAGATTGTAAGCACGTTAAAGCAAGGACAATCATTAGATACTGTTGCATGAATGAATTATACATTATATCTCAATTGCTCTTCAATTCTATGTACAGTATACTGAATTATAGTATAATATACTACGTATACTATACTTAATTCCATCTTAGATGGGGAGTAGGGTCTAAAGTAAGTAGATAAGGTGAGAACTGCTTAGAGTCAAAATCAAATGGCTCAACAGAGTGGCTTAACCCAATGAGATGCGTACCCAAGAAAAGACTCTCAAAACCAACACACTGATGACAGAGCTAGAAATGTATATCCCTCATCTTACTCTCACTCTGGAGCTTAACTTTATTAAGTGGAATCGCTTGCATCCCAATTCTGGAGTCCCTCATAGAATTGGCTGAGGTCTCATTGCAGCCACACTGCAGTTCAGCTTTGCCCTCTGCTCAATTGCATTTATCTACTGTCTCATGCCTGAATAAACCTTATGCACACAAATTTCTGCCTCACAGTCTCTTTCAAAAAAAAAATCCAATGTAAAGATGGCTTCTTGCTCTCAAACCCAAATTTCAAAAGCCTTTTTAAAATTTCTTCACCCTCCTGGGTCTCTTCAGTCCTGTTTCTCACTGTTTCTACCTGTTCTACTCTCCTACGCTAAAAAAGCAAAAACCCCAAGAAATGGGCAGGCACTCACTCTTTTTAAGGGTGATTTAGAGGGAATAGCTGAGGACAAGCTGGGAAGGAGGCAAGGCTCTAATCTCTTTTCTGTTAATAATTGCTGTTTCCGTCATAGTACTGCGGTTTGATTAAAATGTATTTTATGAATGGTGCATGATTTTTTTTCTCAAAATGACAGAATCAGTTACAGATCCCACACCTGAACTCTCCCATCACTCAGCATCCCCTATCTGGGGGGTTCTCTGAAGCACCTGCTAGCGCTACATGCTTCTTCTCCAATAGCCAGGCAGTACAGTGGCAGTTTATTGGGTGAAATGCCTTTTTACAAAAGACTTCTATAATTGCAGTCAAGTCTATATAAGCTGAAACAAATTCCAGTTTCTTCCTTTTATTTTATTTATTTATTTATTTATTTATTTATTTATTTATTTATTTATTTTTTCCTGACGGAGTCTTGCTCTGTCGCCCAGGCTGGAGTGCAGTGGCGCCATCTCGGCTCACTGCAAGCTCCGCCTCCCAGGTTCACGCCATTCTCCTGCCTCAGCCTCCCGAGTAGTTGGGACTACAGGCGCCCGCCACCATGCCTAGCTAATTTTTTTGTATTTTTAGTAGAGACGGGGTTTCACTGTGTTAGCCAGGATGGTCTCGATCTCCTGACTTTGTGATCCGCCCGCCTCGGCCTCCCAAAGTGCTGGGATTACAGGCATGAGCCACCACACCCAGCCCACCTTCTTCTATCACCTCGATAATTTGAAGAAAGACCTAATTTAAACATAAGATACCTACATGTCATTTTGCTTGTTTTACAGCCACTAGGCAGTTAGAAAAGAAATCCCAATCACATGTGTACTCCATCTATAAAAAGTTGGTATAAATATGATGTTTACCTTGTTCTCATATTTCAAGGAATTTGTTAGTTGCGCTATATCCTGCTGTTTCTCATATTTGTTTACTCCTGGTTATGGTAAATTCTTTGCACATTTGATTATGGGCACATGTTAAGCAGGGCTGAATAGTAGGTGTATCGGAATTGGGAGTATTCCTGCAGAAAGGGTTTGTGTTGGCTTCCACCAGTCTCCTCAAAGTTATCATCGATGGGGACACTTAAATGTTAATTTCTTGGTGTGTGTGTTGGGGTGGGGAGGGGATTTTCCTTTGACCACATAAGCGATGTAAATTTGCATCCCAGACTCAGGCGAGAGAAGAACCAAGACTAATGTTTTCAGGAGAATCAGGCTTGTTTGTCTTCTACTGAGACTAGGTCTCCCCTGTGCCAGTGGGTTGATTTTTTTTCCTAATCCGTATTTCACAGAGTGTAAGTCCAGTGGTGTGCTGGTAAATGTTTAGCAACCAACCCTTTGAAAAAGAAAGTATGCATATATGTCTAAACGTAGGTTTATTATAAATCTTACTGACCCAAAGGATTATATAGTACACCTATGACTACTAATAATATAATGTAAAATACTCTATTTGCAGTTTAATATAGTCAATTGATTGTCATAGAATGTATTCGTGGATGTAAAAGGAGACTTTTACCCAACTGAGAATAAGGACTAATTATTCAGAGCTTGTGCCTGCAAGGGAGTCAGCCATCATCACTTGTATTTGGCAGACTCAAAGTCAGGAAGAGCAGAGGGAGAGCTTTATAATTAAAAAATGGTGGAAAGCACAGGAATGCTCCAATTGAAAGTTGTTGGCAAGGTGAAGCGCAGGCAGGCTAACTAGAAGCAGGACATCTTACGTGGTGAGATTGGAGAGTGTATTTTGGCTTTCCCTGGTTCCTCCTGAGTTGCAAACAGAGACAACAAAAAAAATAGGGAAGCCGAAAGACATTGACCAAGTTCTGACTGTTTTGGGCTGATTGCTGCAGAGGTTGCAGTTTGACTTCCTGGACTGCATGTTGCAGAAGTTGTGGATGAGAATTCTGTTGTCGTATATGATTTGTCCACTGCCCATTTGTATATTCAGTCCCACACTTTCACTGATTGTTGCTGAACTCCTGCATCTGTAGCCTGTCTGTGGTTGTAATTGACAAATGAATGTAGTTCCAACATGAGTGTTTGTTGATATTTTTGTTTTTGTTAATGGGTAGCAACAAGATGTTGGAATTTCATTTGTTCACCAATGATATCAGTCACTACTGAATTGCATAATAGATGTCAAAATACTCGACGTTTTTTCTTTTCTACTCACAATATAACTACAGACATGCTACACATTAAAGTGAATCTGCATTAATAACAAAATTTCCATCATTTTCTTAAGTCTATGCAATCAAAACAATTAGTGAAGTCTTGTAGCATTTGCCGATCTCCACAGTATAATACTTCTATCATGGCCAATTTCTAGCTACCAGTGTGTCATTAATGAACATGAAGTTGGGAAGCAATGTGCAAAAGAATAATAGCATTATGTTGTATTTCCGCTATAGAGATACAATTCACACAGACAACCTCAAAAACATAGGTAGTGGTAAAATGTAACAAATAATTAGGAAGTCATAAGTTTTGAGCATTTATGAGTTTATTTTTGTAGACATGAGGTCTTGCTATGTTGCCCAGGCTGGTCTTGAACTCCTGGGCTCAAGCAATCCTCCTGCCTTGGCCTCCAAAAGTGCTAAGATTACAGACATGAGCCACCGCTCTCGCCCCAAACTTTATTTTTAATATGACTTACTTAATTCAAAATTTACCTAATTTTAAATAATGACTCTATTTAACAACAAGCTTACAAAATTCATGAAAATTTAACAATTGGTATAAACAAGTGGTATAAGGACACACAGTTTACATCCATAAATAAATACTTAATGCCTCAGTCTTCTGGGTTTTGAGAATTTGAGTATGAATTTTTATTCCACTTTGTACAGGCCAAGGCCTCATCTATTTTCCTAGAGAGGCTGTTAAAACCCCAAACTCTTGAATATTAGACTATCAACCCCAAGCTCATCCATTCTGCTGGGCAGCTAGGGCATCAGTCTAAGTGCTGGCTTTTAGTTTCAACTTGGGTTTTGGCTCCTGTGTATTTTCCTTACTTTTTTCCAGCTTATTACACATTTAAATGAGTGTTTCTAAAACTCTCATCTAGCACTTCTAAGTGTTTTCTCATGGGGAGGTTTTAAGATATCTGGTCACAATATTGCCTGGAATGAAAGGGTCCTGTCTTGTGTTAGCACTCTCTAGAAATTTCTGACCTTGAATCTGACTCTGTATAAAGGAGTTTTCCTGACTTTCAAAACTCAGCTTTTTAAGACTTGATAGTAACCAAGTTCAGTTTATTTTATGCATGAAAACTTGTGGTTCTTCAGTGATTCTTATAATTTTTGGCCTTCGAGAGGTATGCTTTGATTGCAAAAAGGAGAACTAGTCCTTCCTAGATGTGCCAGCTGTAAGAAGCATGCCGTTAAGTGCAGGGTTGCCTGCTGGATGCTTGATGTGTGAGTCTTCAATGTGTAGATTTCAGAAGATGTGTAAAGGCAAGACAGTGGCACATTCTTCCAAACTACAGCATGAAAGTGTTGGTCCCTAACTTAGAACATTCACATAAATTCATGAAAGAAAATGTGATAAACTGAAGTAGGACAAACCATCCATCGGAAAAAAAAGAGATGAATGGTAATATTTCATTGACTTCTGATATAGTCCCATAATTATAAAGACAAACAAGATGAAAACAGAGTTTACTATGAAAAACAGTTGATGGATAGATACGCAATATGCAACATGCAATTTTAAAATTTATCAACATGAACAGCAATATGTTGACCTAAAAAAAATTCAGGCAACTGAATTGAATGATGCCTAATTTCCCAAAGTTGCTGTGCCATGTAAAACGCTGTAGAGGAGGGAGTACACATATTAATAAATACAATCAAAGACATATATGGGAATTAACACTGCTTAGCATCAAGATTGATTCCCCGTACAAAAGTGGTTTCTTTTTTTTCCTCTTCAACGCTTTTTTTTTTCGCCACCACAATCAGAAGTTTCTGTTGCAGTACTGAGTTATTTTTATAGATTGTGGAAACCTTGATAAATTCTTTTGAGAATTAGCTGGGTCTTAAAAGAATCTCTTTGTTTCAGCAGAAAATATAGTCTGAGCACGTAAGCCTCCGTGATAGAAGGGCAGATGCTCCTGTGGCTATTTTTCACTTTTCAATTTCCCTTTTGTTTTTCAATTTAAGTGACATACTTAATTTTACTACCCTAATTATTTGGCAATATTATTGTATCCTGTGTTGTAACTTGCAGGATACTCTTCCAATAATAAGAATATATTTCTCATAAATTTAAATTAAGAAACAATAAAGTTACTCATCAGTTACATAATTTTAACTTGTCCAGTCCAGAATTAACTTTGTCTTGGAGTGGTAACAACAGACACTTTTCTCCTTACCAAAATAAAAATTTTAACTGTCAACTGTGTATTAAAAGAGCCCCCCATTAAATGATTATATTCCTCCTATCGTATTTTCTCCAATTCAAATACATATTCATGTAGTATAAATTTCATTTTGTGCAGGAATGACAGCCAGTTATGTCAGGCTAGATTGATTTGATTGATTTGCTTAACAAATGTTTTCTTTCAGAAGATCCAATTATTCTTGTAGGCCATCTTGGGGAATGCACACTTGTTCTACAGCTTGATTCCTAGCTGTGGATTCATTTAATCATGTTTCACTATAAATTCATGAACTGTAGATAGTGGTGTCCAGGCAATTTTTTCTTAAATTATTAATAGATACATCCAATGTTAGGTATGGGTTTAAATTGTTGTCCCTGATACAAAGTATGTTTTATAGCAGAAATATGATTGAATGCATAATTTATTTAAGGTTTAGCAAAGATGCAAGACGTGTTCCTTTCCAAATGCAAACACTCTGAAAGCACTGCTAGATAAGTAAACACTGTGCTTTAAGAGAGAGTGTGTGAGGCAATAAATGTCATCCCCAACTCAGATAAACACTAAAATTATATTTATGTGATGATGGAGATGTTTTTGTGGCATCTAAGCACCTTTAAAACACAGCCAGGATTATTGATGAATATGCCCTTTACAGTTGCTTTGGTTTGCTTGTTTTTTGTTTGCTTTGTAGTGATCTTTGACAGATAAAATTGTTTTTCCATTAATCCCCCTTCATTGCAATGTTTTTAAATCCCCATATGTTCTGATATTTCCAAAACAGTGAGTTGAGATATAAAACTTATCTGAGGAGATGACAGGGCTTTCCTCTTCATTTTCAACTGACATTTGTTATTGATTGGATACTTACCTCTTCTCCCAACTTTGGGGGTCTTCTGCGTTGTTGGGAACCTTCTACATTTCCAGTGGCAAAGGCACTCTCCCTGGCTCAAATTTAACACCTCCAAATTAGTCCTTAATATTTTTCATTTCAAAAAAATGTTTGTTTTCTTAATCAATGAAAGATTTCAATAATATTCTGAGAAATTTTCTTAGTGCCTATAACCTACAATTTAGATAATGAAGCAATTTATGACTATCCACTTATGTTCTGCTTTGCCTGGCATAGACAATGACATTTCTCCTTGCAGGAGTCAATAGGTTTTGTGTTGGTTCATGCTCATGGTGATAGTGAGTTTCTGTGTGTGTGTTTAATTATGGTTGATAGTCCAATAAGAAATAACCAAGTGAATACAGCTTTAATATTCAAGTGGCATAAAATCTGAGATTTTCAAGGATCCCCAAGTTCACAATAAATGTGTATATTATACATGAGAACAGATCAACAAAGCTGAATTGAAATGGACATGTTCACCTTTAACCTGACTTAATCATTAGTCACAGGACATCCCATACCAGCCTGGCAGCTTGGTATATTTGAACTGGTTTCCACAAAATAAAAATGTCTAAGAAAGTATAATGGAGGTTACCAGGTGGAGGGAGAGGGCAATGGGGAATTGTTTTCATTATTTTTTAAATTTATGATTTTTAAAAAATTTTTTTGAGGCTGGGTCTCATTCTGTCAACCAGGCTGGAGAGCAGTGGTGCGATCATGGCTCACTGCAACCTCCACCTCTGGGCTCCCGTGATCCTCCCACCTCAGCCTCCCAAGTAGCTGGGACTACGACTGCATACCACCACCCCCGGCTGATTTTTGTATTTTTTGTAGAGCCAGGGGTTTTGACATGTTGCCCAGGCTGGTCTCCAACTCCTGAGCTCAAGTGGTCCACTCGCCTTGGCCTCCCAAAGTGGACTACAGACATGAGCCGCTGCACCCAGCCTGCTTTTTAATGGGTACAGAGTTTCTGTCTGGATGATGAAATTTGTCTGAAAATATTAGAGGTGATGGTGGCATAACACTGTGATTGCACTTAATGCCATTGAATTGTACACCTAAGAATAGTTCAAATGGCAAATTTTATGTCATATATATTTTACCACGATAAAAATTAAATAAATAAGTAGATGATACTTAAGTGTCCAGATTTCACTAAAAATTGAAGAACAACAACAAACAGGAAATAATGAAAACGTTAGAAGCCTAATTGCCAAGACTATGCCTTATTTATGATAGTAACTGGTGATATTTATATCTAACTTTTAGGAGAAAGGGTACCTATTACTCTATTTCACTGAAATAATAAACAAGTATAAAAGCTAAAGGAATATGCTATTTTTTTTCCACCTATTAGGCATCTAGAGTTATAAAGGATACCTTTTTAAGAATTCTACAGGTCCTTCTGACCGGTATATTCAGACGTATAGACCTCAAAATTACTAGTGATGAGGATGATAAATTATGATACATTTATGCTAATCCCACTTGTCCTTAACAGTCACAATTGCTCCGTCTGATCCCTTGTCTCCCAGTATTTTCCCTAACCTAGCGATTAAGTGATGATAGCAGAGGGTCACTCTGTTCACTTTGATTCATCTGCAGACATCTATATTTTCATGATTCTGGCTTTATCGTGGTTTCATCATCTGTGACCTTCTCTTGCCCTTGACAGAGTTGGTTGTGCATTCACAAATGATTCTGAGGCTGGGAAATTTCTTTTTTTTTTTTATTGTCAAAGCTCTTAGGTGCTGGACATTCATAAAGGAGAAACCACAAGTTCTAAAAAGCAATTTGTGCCTTCCATGGTGACTGGGAAGAGTTACATATCATTCCCTTCTGCCCTGGCAGACACTGCACTAGACATTTCCCCTCTTTAGAAGAATTTGCCCATCTTGGTAGTCTGAGGGAGCAAAGGATGAATTTGGAAAGGTCATGTTGTTTTTTCAATCTGTAACAAAAAATTTCACAAATAATATTTTGTCTTGTATTACATACAAGATACAGTCAAGTAAAATTTTAAATGTAACTTACATTTCTCAGGAAGATTATTTAGGTAGTAAGATGTCTATGTTCCTTCATGCCTCCCCACTCCTAAACAGCCTCTTATCTTCCTGGAAAACTCTTTTCATCTCCAGTAAAAGGTGTCATGTTACTTCCTGCTTGATGCCTTCCTCACCTTGCCCAGATCAGTTTAATCTGTTCAACTTACCAAGCAAGCTTAATTATTATTATGTGATTTTAGGTCTGTTATTCTCTTCAGCTTTTGGAGCCCTCTAGAGCAGGTCTGTGGCCTAACTCAATTTTGCCATCTTCCTCATCCTATGCCAGTCATTTTTTGTTTCATTTCTCCAGTAAGTCTTTTGTTCTTGAATGAATGAATAAATGATGAATGAATGAATGAATGAATGCTTAAACAAACAAAAAATATCCAGACCTATACATTTTATTTATTTTTCTGTTTCTATTTTGCTGATAACCAGTAATGGCTTTGGAGTCAGAGAAGGGTTCAGTTTTAATTTCTATCACCTTAGAAGCAGTTTCACCTTGGATAAATTACCCAACCCCTCTCAGCCTCAGTTTCTTCATCCGTATAGTAATGGTTATAATAATTATGACAAAAAGAAGGAAGTCAGGTGATTAACGTTAGGTAATAATCTCTCTAATAGGAACTGATAGCAGCAGCAAAAATAGACATAAGCAAAATCTTGAATTTTTTTTATAAGAGAACTTTCACCAGAGAAATAACATCCAGGAAGATTCCTGGAGATCATTAGAAGCAAAGGATGAAACAGTGGACATGTTTCATAGGCATTCTTCAACCTAAAATAAATGGGTTGTGTTTTAAAGGTTTGTTTCTGAGCCGATTGCCTTAGAGCTCAGAAATACATTCTTTCATACAAACAACATGCTAGTTGATGGCTCTGTTCTTAGCACAGCCTACAAAGTGTAGGTACCTTAGAATATGCACTAAATAAAGAATTAATAGTACCATTTCAGTTATCATACCAACATTTTTCTATAGGGCAGTGTGTTCTGTGTTCATAATTTAAACTTCTAGGAACACAGGAAACATCTGGAGGAAGGAAGTTAGAGAAGAAAATTTGGCAATCAAACAGATCCAGAAGATAGAACTTATTGAAATCAGGTAACAAAATGAAAATTAAATCTAAAACTAGGCTTTTATACCCATTTTCAAGATGATAATCAAAATTAACCAAAAATCTCAAAAATGAATCTTTAGGGAACATATTACGTGGGAAAGAACTGTATGAATATTACTGTTAAATAGAACTAAATTAAAATCCTGAGTTGATATGTAGAATTCCAGAATTGTGAAAAATGTATATAACTTCTTGAGTTTTAATTTCCTTATATGAACATGGAACAATAATACTGGAAATAGTTGCCAAGAAGAATTATAATGCCCTAGGTTATTAGGAATGTCTTTCTTGTATCATTTATCTTTTATTTTTGAACTCCAGCATTAGCTTGCATTCAAACACTTATATGTGATGTATACATTTATGTATATATGTATGTATGTGTCTGTATATATGTATGTGTCTGTATATATGTATGTATATGTATGTGTGTATAAATAGTATATATAGTATGTGTGTGAGAGTATATATATTCACCTGTATGTGTGTATATGTGTGTGTGTATGTGCGTGTGACGTGTGTGTGTGAGATGTGGGTGTGTATATATGTGTATTGAGATATAGGTATACACACACACACATATATATACGTATATATCACACATATATATACGTATATATATGTATATATATACATATATATATGTGTGATATATACGTGTATATATGTATATATATACACGTATATATATAGTCCTTGAAACCGTTTGGCTCAAAACACCTCTATTATTTAGTTTTTTTCTTTCTACAGAATTCTCAAACTTTCCATATATTTTTCTTAAGCTGCTTCTTGCTCCCCTTCTCATCTTGCCCATGCTTAGATGCTGTCAGATCATTCATTTTGCTACAGTTTCCATTCATTTTGTTGCCTTCACTCTGTCTGTGCCACCTTCCCTCGTGGTTTTTGATTCTCAGAACTTTTGCTGAGGTGTCTTCACTTTTCTTTTCTTCCATGGTCTCCCTAAAACCCATCTACCACTGTGATTGTTTTTCTACTTCTATTGAACATTCTCACTTTAAGGTTTTATGGAGCATTTAAACTCCTTCTTTGTATGTTCCCCTTTTGACTCTTCATATTGTCATCTTTATCATCCTGAATGGTTGCCTCCTACTTTCCCCTTCAGACTGGGGTTTTCAGTCCATCTTTGGTGGAATATTTGGTCTCCACTTATTTCATTTTTATTCATTATTGTCCTGGTTCTTTGTGTAGAATTGCCTCTCCATAAATAAGCCCTGTTTCTCCTTTTGTAGAACAGTTTATTTTTCTGTATTTGTTTCTCCACATCTTGTTCATTCTAGCAACTTTCTTTTTACTCATTTGACTTTTCTTCCAACATTTGAAATCAAACATCAATTTATTTTATAAGTATTTCTTTTGAATTGTCATGCAACATTCTAAACTCAAATCATAAAGTCAGAGAATTTTAGAGGTAGATAGAACCATAAGTATCACCTTGGCCAGACCGTATGTATTACCAAAAAGGAAAGTAACTGGAAAACATCTTCTCAATGCCCAGCTCTTAAGTGTTATCTTCCCCTTGCACTCCAGTGAAACTTTAGGTTGAGTCATATTCTGTATTGATTATCAGTTCCACCTGTATAATATTGTTTTTCTTCTATTCAAAAATGGACTGATATAGCATATATGGTTATCTTTAATTGCAGTAAATTACACATCACATAAAATTCACTGTTTTAAAGTGTACAATTCACTGACATCTGGTGCCTTTATCATGTTGAGCAACCATCACTATTGTCTAATTCCAGAACATTTTTATCATCCCAAAAGAAAGCTCTTTGCCCAAGAAGTCACTCCCTAGTCCTCCCTCACCCCTACCTCCTGGAAACCGCCATTCTGCTTTCTGTCTCTAAGCATGACCTATTCTAGATCTTTCTTCTAAATGGAATCATGTAATATGTGGCCTATTTTATCTGGCTTCTTTCAACACATATAGTTTTATAATCTGCTATTTACAACTTGCTATGTATGGTTATATAATCTGAAAACATAGCAAAAGTGTATATATATTATAAAAGTTTTGAAAAATATTCTTCTGCATACACAGTGCCTTTATTTTTATTTATTTTTATTTTTGACAAGGTCTCATCTGTTATGCAGGCTGGAGTGTAGTGGCACAATCTTAGCTCCATGCAACCTCTGTCTTCCAGGCTCAAGCGATCCTCCTGACTCAGCCTCTTGAGTAGCTGAGAGTAAATTAGTGTGCACCACCACAACTAGCTATTTTTTGTAGAGACAGGTTTCACCATGTGGCCCAGGCTCACAATGCCTTTTTATATTCCCAAGTTTTACATGCTTTGTTTTTACCCATGCTAGTACTGTGACCTTTTTCCTACAACTCAAACAACTTTCCTGATGTTGAGTTTAATTCATAGAGCACACAGAGAAGCATGTCCCAGTTGTCCTGTGGAACACTTGCATGCCTGTCACAGACCTGCCTGGGAAGCTCCCAGCAGACACTCAGTCCCACTTGACAAAGATTCTTCATTCATTCTGGTTTTTGTCCTGCAGTCTCTAAGTAAATATAAGATGTAGACTGATATGAAGCTCTCCAAAACTCCTCACTTACCCCAGGTTTAGTAACTCTATGTATGTCCACAACCAAAGGCCATCTCCTTTAATATCCACCACCTTCTAGCATAGTGGGAACAAAGAGACTTGTCACACTTATGTTCTTGAGTTGTCCCCATAACAACCACTTTATTTCTCCATCTTGGTTGCCTCTTCCCTCCACCAGTGACATCTGCCCACTTTTGCAGACCTCTGCCTTAAAGTCCTGCACCACTGTCCTCTTTAACAGTGGAGAAAGGCCCCTTCTGTGCCATTGACCAAGGGATGAATGGTGGCAGGTCACACTTCTTTTTATCCCTGCCCTTCCTTTTATCGTATTTTTTGTTACTTCACCACCACATCTTTTGATATCTTCTTGCCAGTGAAGTGCAGAAGGAAGTTGGTTATTTGGACATAACTCTTGAATGAACATGCACACACACACACACACACACACACACACACACACACACACACACCTGCCAAACACAAATTTGTTAATTTTCAGTAATAATACAGTCTAGGTCTATATGAAGGAAGCAAACTTTCCCCAAATGCATTATCATCTGCAGAGAGCACCAGCTTCAAAGAAAACAGAGTTCAATATTCATTATTATGCAGATTGATATCAATCACACATGCTCATTAACAAACAACAAAGTTTACCTTCTGCCACCAAGAGTGTGCCCAGAAGACCACCTACATGAAAAACAGAGTCATCTACTCATTGCTTTTCTGCCCTTAGCACAAAATCACATTTCTAGGCAACACTATACTACTTTTTGCGAGCAGAAGATGATTATGGGAGCATCTCCTACACAAGCAAGAGCTGTTCACAGGAATGCTGAGATGCTGGAGGAGGCTATTCTAGTAACATGTTCTTTGGATTCATCCCTATTTTAATTAACAATCAGAGTCCTCACAATATTATTTCGGGTAGGGTAACTGTTTTACTCTTGCAAAGCAATAAACCTTACTTTAACAGAATTTAACAGATATCTCTTTAAAAAACTGCTTTAATGTTTTTACCTTCTATCTTCTTTTTCTCCAGCTTTATCCTGACAGAGAAGTTAGCACTAATTAATCTATTTTCTCTTCCCCCTCTTTTTTCCCTTGTGTGTGTCTTTTCTGCCTTCATCTACCCCAGTGAATTTGTTCAGCATTTTGGCTCACTCATTTCTTCAGCTAACTACAGCTTACTACTACAGCCACCACTACTAGAGCCACTCCTGTCTCATCCTGGATGGTTGACAGAGATGAAAACATCTTGCTAAAGCAAATATACAGCTCCCCTTTCACTGGCTCTCCAGTCCTCCTGCTGTCTTTGCTTGACCTCCTGCAACTGCTATAATACCCCACCCTTTTTCTTCTCTCACTCTCTCCACTGTGGCCCTGATAGCTTCTTTCAAACTTGCAAACACAGTTGTCAGACTCTTGTGACAATTCTGCAAGCAAGGTACATAGTACATAATACATAATACTTAATGATTATCTTTTATCTTGGTGGATTACTGATTGAAAAGATTGGGCTTGAGAACCCTGGCTTCCTACTTCCAAATATGATTCTTTTTCTTTCCTGTTGCTTACAAAATGGTGATATTTATCATGTCAAAGTTAAAACTACTCAGACTGTGTTACCACAGAAATTCACATTAAATACAAACCATGACTACTTGTTTCCCTGGGCCAAAAGTCAGGAAGGATTTTCTCCAAAACAAAATTGTGGAATATTTGAGGATTAGTATGTGCAGGCACAGCCTGCTCTTTCCACTTTCGCCCCAATCCTAAATGGAGATGACACCATCAATTAATCAAACAACACATATTTATTCAGCACATACCCTGCACTAAATGGAATTAAAGCCAAAAGAGCCACATTTTTCAAATGATGTGAAGGGCAAAAATATCTCTGTGTTCAACCGGGCATGTTTGTTTTAAACAGATGGC
This sequence comes from Homo sapiens, assembly GCF_000001405.40. Classification (NCBI taxonomy): domain Eukaryota; kingdom Metazoa; phylum Chordata; class Mammalia; order Primates; family Hominidae; genus Homo; species Homo sapiens. The sequence continues at coordinate 93,956,757 of NC_000013.11, forward strand.
TAGGCACCCACTTCTATTTATCTGCATTTCATTGACTTTCTTTCCAAATGCATACTCTGCAGCCACAGCCTCCTTTGGAAATTTTCCTTATTTTAAAATGGTTACAGAAAATCCTTACACCACTTTGTTCTTTTCAGAATGACTCGTCTAGAATCTAGATAAAAACAGCCGCGAACAGGAGATAACTTGAAAACTATTGTACAAATTACTGTCTTTTCTTTCAAGGAATATCTATTGATATGGTATTCCCAAATTAGCCCAGGATCTAAACCCATTTGCAGGCAGCCTGTGAAGGACAAAATGTCTGGGCCCTCAAGCATTAAGTATTGTAAATGGGATGAGAACAGTGTGTCCTCAGTGTTATTGCCCTAGTACATAACTATTTAGCTAGCTTATTATATGATCTGTAATAGTAAATAGTCATAAACTATTTACTATTTAAATATTAATAGAAATAAACTACTTTTATGCTGCCCTCTGATGCTTTTATTGTTATTTTTAATTTCCAGTTATATTTTAGATATAGGGGGTACACGTACAGGCTTGTTACATGGGTGTATTATATGCAGTTCATGAGCGTAGTATCAAATAAGTAGTTTTTGAACCCATGCTCCCTTCCTGTCATCCCCCTCCACTAGTCGGCAGTGACCATTGTTCCCGTAATTATGTCCATGTGTGCCCAATGTTTAGCTCCCTCTTATAAGTGAGAACATGAGGTATTTGGCTTTCTGTTCCTGCATTAGTTGGCTTAGGATTATGGGCTCCAGCTCCATCCATGTTGCTGCAAAGGACACTATCTCATTCTTTTTCATGACTTCATAGTATTCCATGGTATATATGTACCACAGTTTCTTTATTCAGTTTGCCATTGATGGGCATCTAGGTTGATTTGATGTCTTTGCTCTTGTGATAGTATGGTAATGAACATATGAGTGCAATATGTTTTTGGAATTATGATCTATTTTCCTTTGAGTATATACACAGTCATGAAATTGGTATGTCAAATAGCAGCTCTGTTTTATGTTCTTTGAGAAATCTCCAAACTGCTTTCCACAGGGGTTGAACTAATTTACATTCCCAGCAGCAGTGTATAAGCATTCCCTTATCTGTGCAGCCTCAATTATATTTGAGTTTTTAATAATAGCCATTTTGACCAGTGTGGGATGGCATCTCATTGTGGTTTTGATTTGCATTTCTCTGACAATTAGTGATGATGACCATTTTTCCATATGTTTGTTGGCTGCTTGCATGTCTTCTTTCGAAAAGTGTCTGTTCATGTCCTTTGCCTAATTTTTAATAGGGTTATTTGATTTTTTCGTGTTAATTTGTTTAAGTTCCTTATAGAGTCTAGATGTTAGACCTTTGTCTGATGCATGCTTTGCAAATATTTTCTCCCATTCTGTAGGGTGTCTGTTTACTCTATTGATAGTTTCTCTGGCTATGCAGAAGCTCTTTAATTTAGTTAGATCTTACTTGTCAATATTTGTTTTTGTTGCAATTGCTTTGGGGGACTAGTCAAAAATTCTTTGCCAAAGAAGAATATTTTCTAGGTTTTCTTCTAAGATTTTTATAGTTTCAGGTCTTACATTTAAATCTTTGATCTATCTCGAGTGAATTTTTGTATATGGTGAAAGGTAAGAATCCAGTTTTTGTACATTGCTAGCCAGTTATCCCAGAACCATCTATTGAGTAGGGAGTCCTTTTCCCATTGCTCGTTTCTGTTGGCCTTGTCAATCATCAGATGGTTATAAATGTTTGGCTTTATTTCTGAGTTTTCTATTCTGTTCCATTGGTCTATATGTCTGTTTTTACCAGTATCAGCTGTTTTGTTCACTATATAGCCTTATAGTATAGTTCAAAGTTGAATAGTGTGGTGCCTCTGGCTTTGTTCTTTTTGCTTGGGGTTGCTTTGGCTATTTGGGCTCTTTTTTGGTTCCAAATTAATTTTAGAATTTTTTTCTAATTCTGTAAAGAATCATGTTGGTAATTTTATATTTAATCTGTAAATTGTTTTGGGCACTAAGGCCATTTTCATGATATTGATTCTTTCTATCCATGAGCATGGAATGTTTTTCCATGTATTTGTGTTGTCTCAGATTTCCGTGTTATCATTCTCTTTGTAGAAATCTTTCACTTCTTCGGTTAGCTGTATTTCAAAGTAATTCAGTTTCTTCGTGGCTATTGTAAATGGGATTGTGTTCTTGATTTTATTCTCAGCCTGGGCATTATTGGTATATAGAAATGCTACTGACTTTTGTACATTGATTTTGTATTCTGAAATCTTACTGAAATTATTTATCAGTTCTAGTAGCCTTTCGACAGCACCTTTAAGGTTTTCTAGGTATAAAATCATATTGTCAGCCAAAAAATATAATTTGACTACTTTTTTTTCCTAGTTGTATGATTTTTTTTTTTTTTTCCCTTGAGGCTGAGACTCACTCTGTCTCTCAGGCTGGAGTGCAGTGGTGTGATCTCGGCTCACTGCAACCTCCGCCTCCCGAGTTCAAGCGATTCTCCTGCCTCAGCCTCCCAAGTAGCTGGGATTACAGGCATGCGCCACCACACCCGGCTAATTTTTGTATTTTTGGTAGAGATGTGGTTTCACCATGTTAACCAGGCTGGTCTCAAGCTCCTCACCTCAGGTGATCTGCCTGTCTTGGCCTCCCAGTGTGCTGGGATTACAGATGTGAGCCACCATGCCCAGCCTATTTGTATGATTTTTATTGTTTCTTCTTACCCAATTGCTCTGGGAAGCACTTCTACTACTATGTCGAACAGAAGTGGCGCATAAATAAACTACTGAGCTAATTTATTATCTGATCTAATATTCAGAAATAAATGCTCCTACCTTTGGATTCCTTTAATGGATAAATCTATCTCTAGACCCTCTTAGTTTATGCTAACTCACCTTAGTTGAGTAGGTGGCCTGTCACTACCCTGATGGACTACATCTCAGGGGTCAGCCAGAATCCTTCTTAGGAGCCAGGCACTATTCTAATTATTTTATAGGTATTAACTCATTTACTCTTCACAATAACCCTATGATCCAGTCTTATCTTTATTTTAGAAATGACGAAACTAAAGCATACAAATTTTAAGTAAACTGCTCAAGATCACGCAGCTAGTAAGTGTCAAAGCTGGGGTTTAATTCCAGATAATCCAATTTCCTTTCTGCCTCTAAAAAGCCTTGTGTGTTACAGATTTAGTTGTTGCCTTTCTTATTTTATCTAGCCTCATGAGGGAAAGAACTGGTAATCTCCCTCACCCTCAGGCACGTTTCTCTGTAGACTCCACATCTTCTCAGGAGGTAGTGAAAAGGTGGGAAAAATAAATTACTGATCTCTTCAACTTCGAGCAACACGTCCTTCTTGCTGGTATTTCCTCAAGCTGTAGATGGTGGGCTTTCTCCTCTTGCGGGCTCCTGTGGTCCTAGTCTTTCTAGAGAAGAACTATATTAATATGGTAGATGGTCATGGATGAAATACAAACCAAAACGTTTTTACATATTGAGCACTTAATTACTGATTTGAGCAAGTCTTCCAGGATAGGTTTGACTCACTGATCTATATCATTCCCTGGAATCCTGCCCATAACCCATCACAGTCACGGATCTCCGTAGGCGGTAGTGTGTTTTGCAGTTGCAGAAAACCTCTCAATTCCTTCAAATACACCACAGTCAGAAAGTCCTATGACTTAGGACTTAGTTCTCTGCTAAAATGTTCATAGGATGGAAGATGGAAGAAGCATGACAGAAGGGAGTTACCAGAGAGTTGGAGTAGGGGCAGGAATGAATGCAACAAAAATGGCAGCCAGGGTGCTGAGGTGTATAAGGTTCTCTTGTAGCCTGCCACTCCTTGGGGGAGCATCTCTAAACATTTAAAAGTACTAAAACACTTCACACATTGGATCCCAAGTTTTTTTCCATCTCATTTGGTTTTCTTCAGTAGCCTTAGACTCCTAGGTCTCTGTGATGCTGAAGCCACTGCTGTATTCATGTGGATTATTTGACATCATGCAGAAAAATATAACCAGTTTATTGCTGGAATTTTTTTTTTTTTCTTTTTTTTTTTTTTTGAGACAGAGTCTTGCTCTGTCGCCCAGGCTAGAGTGCAGTGGCGCAATCTCGACTCACTGCAAGCTCCGCCTCCCAGGTTCATGCCATTCTCCTGCCTCAGCCTCCCGAGTAGCTGGGACTACAGGCACCCGCCACCACGTCCGGCTAATTTTTTTGTATTTTTTAGTAGAGGCGGGGTTTCACCGTGTTAGCCAGGATGGTCTGGATCTCCTGACCTCGTGATCCGCCTGCCTTGGCCTCCCAAAGTGCTGGGATTACAGGCGTGAGCCACCGCACTTGGCCTATTGCTGGAATTTTTAATCTTCCCAACTGGTTGGTTGTTTTGGCATCCTGTTGGGTGTCACTAGATGCCATTTAAAACAGATTACTTAAATCTAAATTTTAAGAGGAAATTTAGAATCTGAAATGAGAACCTATAAATAATCTCTTGAGTCTTAACTGGCTGGCCAAACAATAAAATAAACCTATAATAAAATTCTGCACATGAGGCAACTAATCTCTAAATTTAAATAACAGTTGCATTTACCTCCAGCCAGGTGTTTGGAAAGTAAATAATGCGAAGCAGTGATTGAGATAAAATATGGCTTTACATGAAAAATCAGTATTTCCACCTTCCTCTTTTTATATTCAAGTTAAAAGTAGCCCATTGAACTTTTAAAAGTTGAAATATATTTCCAAAAGAAAAAAGATTCATTATTTATTGTTATATTGTTGACATACCAGAGTAACACAGAATAGCTTTTGAAATGCATAGACCATCACAATTCCTTTTAGTGATGAAGGGAAACATTAGCATGCTTTGATTTGGCCATGATGTCCCAGACATTGTTTGTCATTAGCTTAGTAAATGGTTTAAAGATAGAGGAAATGATGAACTTCTACTAAAATTTCAGAGGAGACTTGAAAGTTTAGTTTGATTGCAGTGCAGCCAACTTCATATGTTTTAGTGCTATTTTAAGTTGAAATTTCTCCCCTCCTTTTTTTTTAACAATAAATGTAAATAGCAGAGATTTTAGGCAATTGCCAAGGTGTTTATTTGTTCAGTTAGCCATTTCTACTAAAATCTTTGAGCCGTCCTAGCCTCACCTAGCTTGAAGCTAATATTAACAGCATCTGTAGTTCGTTGCTGTTCAAGACTCAACTATTCCTGAGGCTGTTCACCAAACATGTTACATAAATCATTCCTAGTCCTCACAACAGCCCATTCAGGTCGATATTATCATCTCCATTTAACAATTAAAGAAACAAGTTCAGGAAAGTTAAGATCACACGGCTGGTGAGTATTTGAACCATATTGCTTACCTGATAAAATGTAGTCCATTACTATAAGTCCCCCACAACATGGTTGTAAATTCCATTTCACCTAAAATAGTAGCAGGGCTGACAGTCCAACTTCAGCAAAGTTCCTGCATAACATATTTCATCTTGAATAAGTAATGGCATCTTTTTAACCCTTAAGCATTTGATAAGGTTCTTTTGTTGAAATTAATTATTGATAAGAATGGTCGCATGAAAGGATACAGAAAGAGAGATGTTGTGAAAGTTACCCCAGATCATTTAATTTAGTAACAGTAGTTAGCAAAAAATATATATATATTTTTTTTCTTTCTCTAACCTGGATTCTCTCTTGTTCATACTACTCCCAGTTCCTAACCCAGTGCCCCACATTCTAAGCAGCCTTGAAATATCTGCCGAAAGACTGAATACAGAAACGAATAAGTGCATGAAGGAATAAACACATAAATAAACAACAATACTTATATAGGTGTTAGTTATTCTTAAAGTTCTATTATTTGGTGACATGGATTAACATGTCCTTTGAAATTTGAATCCAGGTGGTAAAACCTAGAATAACAAGCTAGTCTATTATACAGATGCTGTTTCTGTCACCCCAAGAAATACTATAAAGTGGCTTCAATGTATTATTATAAATTAAATATGATCGCTTTTTTGCTCTTTGGACAGAAAATGACTAAAAGATGAAAGTGTGTAAGCACACACAGTGGTGTCTGATAAACCTTTGTTGGATTGAGTGGAATATTTCACAGCAATGGCAATAGGTACTTGTAACCAAACTCTCAAATATTGTGTGACAGTTGTTCTGATTAGCTCTATCTCACCATTAATATTTATTGAAGCAAAATCCATCATGGAGAATTCATAATACCTTTTGCATCTGAAATTTAATGGCATATTTTTATGTGAAGCATACCAGTCTCCTAAGCTGTGTAGCATTTTTTTATATTCTTTACTTTCTGCTTAGGTATTACTTTTATAATTGAATAATTGGCTATTTTTTCTTGTAGATTTGTTCCCAATCCTCTAGATTTTCCAAGATCACTATGAGTATTATTAAGTAAACAAAATCATGAACCATGGAGAAAAGTGCTTTTAGAAAAGGGTTTTCATGGTCTTGATGAGCTTTATTTTTTTTTTCTGCAATGGCCACACATATTTTAGCTACTGAACAAAATCTGCAAATAAACTCTTTTACTCATTTGTGATTACTGAATAAAATAGAAGTGTACAATGATATAGGCTCTGATGGGAAAATTTTGTAAACACCAGGTGGAGAGGACACAGAGGTGATGCAAACATCTTCCACATTTTCAAATGTCAGCTGTTCTCAAGAGAGGAAGCTTAAATAAACATCATTTATAGTCTTAGCAGATGTTATCGATACGTAACACTTTAATTGTAGTTTTCCAATATCAGTGCTGTTAATAACAGTTCAGAAAAGATCTGAAGTGCTTTGATTTTAATCAGTGGTCATTTAAAAAATAGCTGTGCTAAATGGCGTATGTTTGTCTTTAAATCATCTCCGTTAGACAGATGGTATCTTTGGAATTGTTGTGACATTTCATTGTTGCTGGTGACTGATGACTCATTGTAGGAAAATCCTTGTGTACACAATACGTGAAAATAAGATTGTTTGGTGTTCTTTCCTACAGCTAATTTTCAAACAGAATTTCAACAGATGTGACAATTTTACCAAGATGTTGTCAAAATAAGAGCAACCCACTGACAAATGAAATCTGGCTCATGTTCAGCCCTTTGGTACCATTCTGGTTTGTTCCAAGTATCAGGAGACTTTGTATCAATGTCAGCCCTGATAACTTGATCATTTCAGATGGCACACTGTCAATTTTTTCATCCTTTCTAATGACTCACTTTGCAATCGAGATGCAACACTTCCTGGTTTTTCTTTTCCTCCACCTCCCCCCACTCATGTATTACCAAAGAAACAATGCTTGTAACTGATCTTTAGTTGTTTGGAAATAAAATGAGATCATCTACTAGAAAGACTTTTAGAGGTCATGGAGAAAGATGATCCATGATGAAGGAACTCACAGGGTCCTAAGGAATTTCAGGTTTAGCTGTGAATGTTAGATTGATAACCTTGCATAGTGAAAAAGGTAACTCCTATGACAATTCAGTCATTGCTTCCTTGACTAACGTGGTGGTACTAACCCTGGGAAAATGAGGTCCACACATAATGATATCATGCATTAGTTTAAGTGTAAAAAAAGGCCGTAAAAGGAGCCCATTATTATCAATGGCAACTGGATGAGCAATACTGTTAAAATACTGGGTTTTATTACAGTGAGCTGACACAACAGAATATTCAGAATCACTTAAAGTAGCCCAGCACAAAACCCTTTAATGATGTATCATCCCCTAGGAGGGCTAATCAAAAACAGATAAAAGAGGGGAGACAATAATATTTGTGCACAGTAAATCCTATTTTAAAAGAATAATGGGATCAAGGTGTAACTTTGTTTTTAAGAAGTGGGTAGTGCGTATAGTAAAATGTAACTGTGTTTTCTCTGAATAGCGTATTTTATTCCTGACCAGTCTTCCAGAAGTATCCAGAGGGCAAAAGTGTGACTGAAAGCAATACAGTGAAAATTCTGTTGTTTCTCCTATTTCTGAAGTGACTGGCGTTGTTATCATACTGCATTATTCACCTACTAGAAAGAGAAAATAGCCCAAAGTTTTCCATTTCCATTATGGCTCCAGTAATTCTCATTCTGTTCCGCTGACTTCTACATGGGAATAAAAAATGTTGTAGCATTCTACACATTGCAGAAAATAGCTTACACTCAAAGCCCTTATCAAGAGAAGAAAGTTTTAATACTATTGCTACCATATAAAAAGAGACAGCAGTCATTTAAAAAGATAGTTTTCATTTCATGTTTAATAATTATCTCCTTAATTATTATGTTTTTGTAAATATATAAAGTTAGTAAGTATTTGGGAAACACTATGAGTTTGTTTTTTTTTTTTTTTTTTTTTTTTTTAGCAAGGGAAGTTTGGTAGTTAAAAATAACCACGATTGGGAGGCTGATGCGGGCAGATCACACGGTCAGGAGATTGAGACCATCCTGGCTAACACGGTGAAACCCCCTCTCTACTAAAAATACAAAAAATTAGCCGGGCATGGTGGCAGACGCCTGTAGTCCCAGCTACTCGGGAGGCTGAGGCAGGAGAATGGCATGAACCCGGGAGGTGGAGCTTTCAGTGAGCCGAGATTGCGCCACTGCATTCCAGCCTGGGTGACAGAGCAAGACTCCATCTCAAATAAATAAATAAATAAATAACCACGAATACTTTGCAATTCATTCGGTCAAGAGGAGGAGACTGTTTCTCCCTCTTTTATTTGGGTTGACCTTGTACCTTGCTTTGACCAGCAGGATATGGTAGATGTGATGCCATGGGACTTCTGAGCTGAGGACTTGAGAGAGCTTGTAGCTTCTTTCTGTCTCACCCTCTTAAAACTTGGTCACCAAGAGGTAAACTGAACTAGCCTGCTGGAGAGGCCAGTGGAGAAGAACTGAGGTGTCCTCACTGCCAGTCCGTTATCTGCCAGATATGTGTAGACAGCCTATTTAGAACATTGAGCCCTTGTCAAGCCACCAGATGACAGCAGCCTCTTAGGTCACCTCAGAGGAGACCAGCAGAAAAACTGACCAGCTGAGCCCAGCCAAAATCACCAACTCCTGGAATTATGAATGAATAAGGGATGACTGTTTGCAGCCACTACGTTTTGTGACAATATTTTAGGCAGGAAAATATTCTGAAAAAGTAGAGTGAAAAATCAGATCCAGCCTGGCCAGCCCTCTTCCCGCAGCCCAGCACATCTATCAGCCCAATATCTCCTGCCATGACCACAGGCCAGTTATGAAAGGAAAGACCACCATGATCCTCTGACATAAACTCTGTGCTGTCACGTCTCCTGGGGAAAATTATTCCACTGAGGTCATAGACTGAGTTAAATTACAAGCTGAGGGATCTCCTCCTGGGGCACCTTTGCTTGTATGATCCACCTTAATGTCAAATGATTCTATCCTTTTTAGTGTCACTGGCTGCAGGCAGGCAAACCTGCTTACTCAAATCAACTTGACATAATAGGAATAAGAATGTAACCATTGTGCAGCAAGCCAGTGACAGAACAGATCCTCAAAGAATTGAGTGGGTCCTCATCTCCTGCACTTGCCTAAAACAATATAAAAGAGTGAGCCAAGGTATATGTGTGTGAATGTATATTTCCTTTACAGGGTAGACTTTTCTTTTGCTTCATATGGGCTACCAGACCTCTGCTTTTGAGCACACCTCTGTTGGGTAACTCACTTATGCTTTTGATCTTCTGTGTATACTTTGCTGTGTTTGTTTGGTGGACCAAGAGCTAACAAAAGTATAAGCAACTTTAGCCCAGCCCAAGTCACCAACTTGGACAGTCTTTCTTGCCTAACCTAGAACAGATATTAAATTATTTAGGAGAAAATGAGACTTTACTATCAGTTTTGTTTGTTTCCTTCATTTTTTTTTTTTTTTTTTTGAGATGTGGTCTCACTGTCGCCCAGGCTGAAGTACAGTGGCATGATCATGGCTCATTGCAGCCTCAACCTCCTGGACTCAAGCAATCCTCCCTCCTCAGCCTCCCAAGTAGCTGGGACTACAGTCACATGCCACTACACCTGGCTAATTTTTTAAAAATATTTTTGCAGTGATGGGGTCTTGCTATGTTGCCCAGGCTCATCTCAAACTCCTAGGCTAAAGTAATTCTCCTGCCTAGACCTTTCAAAGTGCTGAGACTACGGGCATGAGCCACTGCACCCGACATGTTTCATTATTTTTTTAAAGTTTAGACTGAAGGTGATGTCATAGATTTAAACAGTCTCTCCCTAACCAAAATTTGGATGGTAAGGCAGAAGAAAGCATGAGAAAGGGAAACTTGAGGGAAGGTCTCCAAATACAGAAAAGGATGATGATGAAAAGTATTCACACATGTGGTGGTTTTGCTACTTTTTTCTCCATTTCATTTACGCAAGCATTTGCTGAGCAACTGCAGTGTGACAGTCACTTTGCTGGGTGCTAAGGGGACTGAGATGTGTAAAGTGTGACATTTTCAGTCAGAAGTTTATAATCCACTGGTGAAGACAGACAGTACAAATGAATAGTTATAATTCAGTGCTACATATACTATGATTAAAGTATTTGCCACGATGTACAAAAGTAGTAGTTTCAATTTTGAATAATGAGAGAACAGACACAACCTCTAAAAACTGTACTGTTTCCCAGCACCAAATATGCTTACATATTGGAAATGATTTGTTTGCCATTCCTACATGCTCATATTTGCTTAAAAAGACTGAAAATGCTGTGTATCTCTTTTTATTTACCATCCTCAAGCACAAGTAGAAACTCAATAAATATTTGTGATTCCTGGTGCAACAAATGTTTCTGCTTCCCCTCACCTGCCTGAGTTATGCACCTGTAAAACATCTTTCTGCGGTTCATTCTGCACTGTGCCTGTCATTGTTTGGACCTAGGAAGACTTCTACCTGATTATAACCAAGTGAGATATGACAAATATTTAAGGAAAATTCTAGAGAAATCACTTAATGCATTAAATTGATTTTTCAGAAAAATAATGAATGGTATGTGTTCTAAATTTTCTTACTCTCTTTACCAACGAGAATGCATTGTAAGCTCTCAGAACATAGATATCAGAACTTATTACTACCTCAGAGACTACACACATTGTAACCCTTTAAAAACTGTTGGCAAATTGGACTGAATAGATCTTCTGTAAACATAATCTAATAGGTAATCCCGTGGGCATTGACTCAGTAAAATTAAATGTCACCTTTTAAGGCCTTTCTAGAAATGCTTATGAACATATGAGTAAAAATAAAAAATTAGGAGTGCTCATTTTAAGATAAAATTTGTAACTGAATGTTTTCCTTTAATTCCCTTGAACTCAGATCTTAGAAAAAAACTTCAATATAAGGCGTAGCTTTACTTTCTGGTGTACTTAGTAAAATGCTCATTGTTAGAAGAAATGAAAGGATGTAGCCAATTGATATGGAAGAGAGAGTGGGCCTTCAAGAGTGCAGGGCATTAATAAAACCAAAAATACTTAGAAAATAATTGCTTAATACATTTAAAATTTAATTTTAAAGAAAAATATAAAGTGTGGATGATTAAAGGTCTTTAAAATTTTAAACTTCTGTAGCTTTATCCAAAGGCATTTCTATAATCACTTAATTCTGTTTCTAAGTAATTGGCTAACACAATTAGCTTAAAAAACAGTTTTTAATATTCACAAATCAGTTCACTTGTATTATACTCATTTTTTTCTTTAATGGAATGCATTCTGTTAATATAAGACAATATTCAGAGTGTGCTTTCTTATTTGTAGCAAAATCCTGTTCTGAAGAAGCACATGTTTGGTACAAGCCACCTGAAATCAAAGACTTAGAGAAAAGTCACTTTTAATCCAATTAAAATAGCCATACACTTTCATATCCTTTTTAAATAAAATTTCAAATTAAAAACCTTTATAGGTTTCCTTAGACTGGCTGTGGAATACATAAAGGTGATTCCATTAGATCCTATTCTAATGAACTGGGATTATGGAAATTTCCACAGATCTCTTCTTAGTCACATTTAATAGGAAATATATATTACATACATATTTATGGAAATAACAAATTAGAGTTTAATGTATGCTGTACTGTCAAGGATCAATATAGAATTATTTGGAATGACATGGAAACTAAGAGGCTTGAGAAATTTTTGATGCTAGATGTTGGTATAATATTTGATTTAGTTTTCCCCAGTCTCTCAATATTTCTAGATTCCACAAAGATCCAGGCATCTCCTGAAGATAACAGTTTCTTACTAGGCAAAAACCCTTGGGATGCCTTGATGCTAAACATTTAGAAGATGCTCAGAAGCATGAATAATCATCTAGCACCAACCGAAGAGATAATAAAAATGTGATACACACTGTGGTCATCTTCCCAGCTATGTTCTACTTCTCCCCAGTGTTATGGCAGCTTAGTAGTTTAAAAGGGATTGATATCAACTGTGGTTTGATACTGATTGTACTGGTTGTATCAGCAAAACCCATTCAGTTCAGCATAGAAAAATACAGAGAGATGTGATGGGGCTTTAGAAAAAGATTCCCATTTGTCCTGCAGTGAGAGCCACTAGAAGAGACCCTCACTATCCCTGGAAGTAGAGAAGGAAACCTAGGATCCCAACTGTGCTTAGCATCTTGTAGAAAACTTAGGATGAAGTGTATGCCAGGGATGCCTAAGCAGACAGAGAAAATGCATCCAGTTCCTTGGCGATATCACTGAGCTGCAAACCCAAGCAACCATGAAGCTATCCTTACCCCTTCACCTCCCTGTTACTCTTTGCTCCATTTTGCAGTTGAAGGCCTCCTGGCTAATACCATTAACAAACTAAGACTTTTTTTTTTACACTGTTTAAGATTGAGGTAAGATATACATATAAAATATACTATCTTTACCATTTTTAGTGTATACTTCAATGGTCATAAATACATTTACATCCATTTTTTTTTCCTTCATCCCTCCCTCCCCTCTATTCTTCCTGGCCTCTGGTAGCCACCATTCTACTCTCTATCCTCATGAGATCCACCTTTTTAGCTCCCACATGTGAATGAGAGCATGTGGTATTTGGCTTCCTGTGCCTGGCTTATTTCACTTAACATAATGGCCTCCAGTTCCATCCACGTTGCGCAAATGACAGGATTTCATTTCTTATGGCTAAATAGTATTCCATTGTGTATGTGTACCACACATCACCAGGTGTGATTATGTTCATTCTCCAGGTGAGGTTAAGGGACTTACTGAAATTCTGTGTGGTCTATGGCCATACCATGCTGAATGTGCCCTATCTTATCTGAAGTTGTCTATAGTGATGAAACCACATGTTGCAGAACAATTTAAAAAATAAAAATCTTAAGAGCCTTCTTAATATTTATTCTTTTCGATTTTTCCATAGAGTGTGTGCCTAAATTAAATCTCTAGGAATGATAATAAAGTAGTGATCCTTACAGCAGGGCTATTTTGTAGTCTGTATACTCATAATTAACCTGTCACGAAAAAAATTTGGGGTGCCATAAATCAGCTCTACTAGAGGAATGAGTATGCATAGACAAACAAAACCTGACAAACAAAAATTGAGAAGTAGCATTTTCATCCCATGAGGAAATTTTAAAAGAAGGCTGTAGATAGGGAGCAGTAATTGAGAGTTGCTCACTGGAAGAAGTGCTTTTTCTGTTCTTCCTGAGGTGGCCAACTGCATCTAAGATGGAATTATGCTTTTACTGTTTATGTTTTTCCCTACACTTATACCTCTGTCCTAGCAGAGCATTCTCAGCTGGGCCGGAAGACCCTTCCATGCCCACTGTTGCTGCTGCTGGAAGTCTAAGATTAAATGAGTAAGGAGACATCCAATGATATGACACTGTGTTAGACCATGGAACCTCCGGTCACTCATGTTTATCACCCCATTAATTAGGTGCTAATTGCAAAAGCTCCTTAAATGTAGCTTTCTGCCTTGCTCAGTGCCCTGACAACCTGATCTTAGGATGAAACTCGCATCAACACCAATGCCTCAGAGAAACAGGCCTAATATTTGTAATGTTCAAGTTACAGAGTTTAGCCTCAAAGGAAAGATGTGCAGAAGCTTAAGTTTTTATAGCAGGGTTAATGCCCTCATTATATATTCAACATGCTTTAAAAAAGACAAGATACAATGTGGCAAAATTATCTTTCCTACAAGGACTTGCATTTTGATAGTTATCTATTAATGTTATCCAGAATAAGTCGTGTAATTTCAAAACAATATGCTACTCAAAAGCAAATTAGATTTCTCATAAGGCAACTTCTTTGAAAACATTTTTGCTATTTCAATAATAAATTATTCTACACTGAGGATCAGTTTCATGAGGACATTCAATTTTAATAAATCAAGTATTTCTGCCTGATTTAGTTCAAAACAAATTATTTCATTTTCTTAAAGCCAAGGCACTAACTCTTTTACTTTACATGACTCAGACATGGCTGAACACATTACAGAAATCTTCTAAAATAATTCATTATTGAATATGTAATTTATTGGTAAAATAACTAGAGAATACTTATATTCTCTATATAATAGGAATGTGAAAGAAGTAACTGTGTATGGTGAACTTTGGAAGTTTCTTTTACCAATCCAAAATATTTTATTTTCCCTGAAAAACCATAGTCTAAGCTCAGGCAAATAAATTGAAAATAAAATTTTGAAATACAAGTTGTTTGAAATATGGGGATTGCCAGTAATCTTGTTACAGTCAATACATATTGCTGAATGCCATCAAAAAATTAATTGATCATGGTTTATATTTTGCTCTTGGAACAAAAGGAAGCTCTCCCACATTGGTGATAAAAATCCATTGAAAATACATCTGTTGACTATAGATCAATGTGATGCTACAGACTGTCTTTTCCTTTAAGGAAAGTGTAACTTAAGATGGATAATTACTGCAACTCAGAAGGATAAAACACATGTAGCCAGTGTGGCTTTTGGCTTTTCCTCAGCAAGCTTGCCCTTAGTGACAGGATTGCAGAAGAGAGAAGCTAGAAATAAGAAAGGCCAGAGCCAGAGGAAACGACAGAACTGTGGGACTGCTCCTTCCCTCCAACCCCAAGGAATGATCACCAGCTCTAATGACCATGCCCCAAATTTCTTATCTTTGATTTTGACAGCTAAGATGACTTGACAAAGCTAGGCTCACGCTGGGCAGGAGGAGTATCCAGCGTCAGGCTAGTGGCAGAAGCTCAGCCTGGTTGCATGACCCTGATGTGCAGGACAGATCCATCCCTTAGGCAGAGAAGGCTGACAAAATCAGACAGGATGTCTGGAGTCCAGCCTGGACTGTAGAACCCTGGTCTTGGCCTACAAATGAAGCCACAAAGGCTTGGTCCAATCACATAGGTTAAGCAAATGAAGCCTGGCAGCAAAATGGTAAACACTCCCCAAGCACACTTCACTTTGGATTGGCAAGATTTGTTTGCTATCCGCTATCAAATGGCTGAGCTGCTCACTAAAACTGATTTATTGGCTCAGGGTAAAGCCTGGTAGATTAAAGTCTTCAGTGACTGACATTGAGCAATCCTAAGAAAAAGAATAGGGATCGACAGCCCTTGCATATATAGATTTTTCATTTGGGATTATTTAGTTTCTTTGGGGATGCTATGTATGTCCCTAGAGATCTTTATAAATAGAATACTCATTAGTAAGACATGAATAAGGGGAAATCAATCATTTCTGGAGATGTTTTGCATCCTAAGGTGCTTTCAGGTTCCCCCCACTCCCACCATGTAGACTTTTCCATTGCTCTCTGTTGGAATCTGCAAGTCTTCATGAGGTAATGTCTCTAAGAGCACGAATCCAGAGTAGACAGTTACTGTGAGTTCTCTCTTCTACTTTTTGAAGCTACTGAAGGCCTATGTTTAGAAAATAAAAATAGATTTTAAGAGTTTGTGTCCTACTGCATCATTTTCCTTCTAAGTTAGAGAATGCTATTGGAAATCTTGTGATGAGCCAAGAAAGGATAATAGGCCCCTTCACCCCAATGAGATGCAAATTCCAGGTGCTTGGCTGGAACCATTCACTAGCTAAAGGACTCTCCCAAAAAGCCTTGCATTTGTATCTCAGCAAAATGGAAAATTTCTGTAGACCATCAAACATGGTGTCTGTCTCTCTCTTTCTCTCTCTCTCTCTGTCTCTCTGTCTCTCTCTCTCTCTCTGTCTTTCTCTCTCTCTCTCTCCCTCTCTGTCTCTCTCTCTCTCTCCCTCTCTCAGTTAAATCTTCTAAGTGGAAGTCCTCAATGTCAAGAGTCCACTGCACTACAGGTGTACCTTGCTTAATGACAGGGATACCTTCTGAGAATGTGTCATTAGGTGATTTTGTCCTTGTGTAAACATCGTAGAGTGTATTTACACAAACCTAGATGGTATAGCCTACTACACACCTAGGCTATGTGGTATAACCTATTGCTCTTTGGCTACAAACCTGTGCAGCATGTGACTGTGCTGAATAGAGTAGGCATTTGTAACACAGTGGTACTTATGTATCTAAACATACCTAAACTTCAAAGGTACAGTAAAAATATGGTGTTAAAATCTTATGGGATCACCATAATATATGCAGTCCATCATTGACCAAAACGTCCTTAGGCTGCACATGAACGTATTTCCATTATCACATTTGGTCTGCAATTTGATTAAACTGCTTCCAAGTGACAACAGGGTTAGAACTTTCTAGTCTTAATAATCAGATGCCCTTTGATACAGTTAATTAAGCCAAAAAAAGGCATGATCTCTTATCTAACTATGATTTCTATAAAAAAATAAGAGAGTGAGAGAAGGGTTTTTGTTTTGTGGTGAGACAACAAAGCATAGCCATCATAGAATAAAATGTTTAAAATAACGTGTTTATTAAAACGTTTGATGAAAATGGTAATATCTCTAAAGATTTGAGTGCCTTTCTCACCAATATTTACCCTGTTTCAGTTATTTTATACCAAAGTTTCTTAACTGAGAACATAAAAGATCAACTTTTAGAGAGATGATCGATTCTCCCATCCAAAACTACAGATGCATGTTTTACTGAGAAGGTCCTATAGTTTTTTACGAGGTTCTCAAAGGGGTACATGATCTAAAAAAGACAGAGAACTAGATTTTAAATGACTCTCCTGCCTTGTCTGCCCCTCCTTGCAGAAGTAGTTTCAGACAGAGTAGTACGTTTCTTTCAACTCAACTCTCCCTGAAACTTTTTAGGCGTCTAGGTCAGGTTTGTTGCTTGGCCCTGGAGTATTCTAGCTTTCAGAGGAGCTTTTCTTCTAATTGCTTAAACATCGTTTTCTACTTTAGCTCCAAGGTCCTTGGCAGGCTGGTGGTTACCCAAGAGAAGTGTAACTTTCCCCAGTGCCTTCTTTTGGCAGGTTCCCCTGCCCCAACACACAGACAGTTTCTCTGAATTCCTGGTAATATACAAGTGTTACACAGGCAGCATGATGCCTTGAGAATTTTTGGTCCGTAGGCATTGTTAGTTTCATTAACATTTATTCTAAGGTCTTTCTGTGATTAAAAAATAATACCCATTTATTACCTGCTACAAAAAACTTGGAATACAGAGAAAAGGTCAAAATAATATAACTGTTATCCAGAAATGCAGAAATGATGATTTTTAAGGTTTTTTCTTTTCATAATATCTTACACCTACTATAATGTTATGTACACTTCCAGAATGTATTCACTTAGTATCTATAGTTACACATTCTAATGTCAATGATGATCTATGTAACAAATCTTAATAATTAAGTTTTAAAGAAAACATAAAATACCTAGGTGGCACTGTATAAAGTTTTATCCTCAGTATGGAACTTGGGCTATTTTATTTTTTAATAGAAAAGATAAACAACCTCCTGTAATTAATAGGACGTTTGATTTTCTTTCTTGAATAGAGGTATATTTTTACTCAGTAATACATAACTTTCTTAAAGGAAAACTATGGCTGAATAAGATGCATGGAAATGTTTCCTTTTAATCCATTTCCTTATTTTTTTTTGTCACATCCTATTTGGAATCGAAACTATTATTAGACATTTACTATATTCTAAGGAATTCACATGCATTTTTCTCCTTTATTTTATACAAAATCATGTGATGTAGGCACTGCTTTTATCCTCACTTTATAGAAGAAGAAACTAAGGCTTAGGGGAAATAGCTTATCCAAGGTCAGAAAGCCAGGATGCAGAGCCAGGCATGTCCAGTTCTCTAACTTGGAAGCTCATGCTCTTACCTACAATGCTAGTGATTCCCAAAGTATGGTCCCTGGACCAGCAGCTTCAGCATTGCCTGGGAATTGGTAGAAATGAAAACTCTCCTGGACATGTTGAATTGGAATGGGGCCCAGCTATCATTACTTTAACAAGTCCACCAGTTGTCTCTGATGCATGCAAGACTATGAGGATCACTTCTTTCTAATAGATTGCCTCCAAATTTTAAAAGGTAACTGATACAAAAATTTTTTTAATCTATATTTTTTAAAAAGAAATTATGTTAAACTCTTGCCAAAGGAATATTACGTTAGGGTTTTATTGCTTAATCTTTCAGAATTTTACTTTGGGGATTTCTTGAGTTTTATGCATTAGAGATCATAATAATTGAAGTGAAATTGAGGGGTGGAGCATGGTGAGTGAGTGCTGGGAGCATTTCCGTACTTTCTTCAAGTTATTCATGAATGATGAGCTGGGTTATGATTCAAGTCAACAGATGACTACAAAACAGATGCTGTTATGCAAATCAGACTTGCTGATTGGCAATAAGAGAAACAAAAATTATTTTTTAAACAGGTCCAATTTTTAGACATATTTTTCAAATAAATGAGTTTTTTATTGAAAAATGCAGCAACTTCACAATCTTAGTTCTGTTGACCCAATGCGGTTTTTGTTCCCCAAGACCTGCTATCCTGATCCTGGTGTATATGTTTCATTTTTCCCCTTTACTCTGCATGTGACTACTGATGAGGAGAGACCCATACATTTAGAATGCCATTTACATATTTCTCAAGTCCAGGACATTTTGGTGTTAAATGTATTAGATTTTTTAAAACGTAGGTGTGATTAGGTGTAATTTAATATAAATATGGCCAGCTTTAGTGTCCCTGGGTAGCCAAAATGCAATTTTTTAAATTAGTATTTGAAAGGGAAGGCCTCCTGTAGCCATCATAATCGTATTTTCACTGTATTTTTATTCCTTTCCAGATCTGACTGTCTTAAAATTTAATTACTATTAGCAAGACCTTTATGGGAAGAATAGAAATATTCTTGTAATAGTGTTAGCATATTAAATGTAATTTTCAGGTGATCCTCCTAGGATTCCAGCACTCCTCCATTGAGCCAATTTAGCTGCCTTTTTTCTGCCCTGACAGTTCACATGCATCCAACTCAGAAATATATTCTTTCTATGTCTCCTCTGATGCTGTTAGAACTTTGTTGCCCTAGTATATTAGTGTTCATTCATTTGTGATGAAACTGTCAAATCTGATATGCATTTTAATGCTGTTCATATGAATAATACTAAACATACTAATTATAGCCCTTCTATGTCTTAAAGTAGACTTATTGGTTTGTTGTTGTTTATTTATCTTTAAACTCTGTTAATCATTTTTAATTCAATTGAG
Source organism: Homo sapiens (assembly GCF_000001405.40). Classification (NCBI taxonomy): domain Eukaryota; kingdom Metazoa; phylum Chordata; class Mammalia; order Primates; family Hominidae; genus Homo; species Homo sapiens. Next base: position 93,976,385 of record NC_000013.11, read on the forward strand.
GAGGTTTTGAAAAAGAAATCAAACATTGCTAGATAAGAACATAAAAGAAAAATACACATTTTTGCCTAAAACCAAGGACAAATGACTAAAGAATTAATACGAGGACCTAAAAAAGTGTAATTGTGACCAAATTTTAAAAGAAATGTATAAAGGGATGTTACAGCTGCGGTCTGAAGAAATTTGAGAGATCGCTTCTTAATCTGCAGTCACTTGTCTGGGACAACGTAGCAGACAAGAGACTGCAATTTAAGAAGCGATCTCTCAAATTTCTTCTTGCTGTGACTAGAAGCTCATGGCACCCCCTCCCTTGGTGGGCCATCTCAGTTCTGGTAGGAGCAGCTGATTCTCATTGGCTCAAGTACTCTTAGGCAGCTTGTGGCACTTCTGACAGGAGAAGGACAGCCACCTGCAGGCTTTTGCTTGCCCCAAGAGGTTATTTGTCAGCCTGTAGGCTCCTAATTACTTAGAATTAACATATCCATATTTCTATGCTTGGTCTTGATTGGAACGTTTATTCCCTAAATCAGAAACAGCATAAGAATATAAACAAGTCGTACTTCACATTTTAATTATCTCTAATAGCATTTCTTCTTTTTTCTTGTAACAAATATAGAGCATTCTGTTAAATTATAATAAGTGATGACGGCTCCTAGCCTGCAGTTGGTGGGATATAAATTTCCACTTCTGAAAACTGACACCCATGGATTTCAATAGAGCTAAGTGCATGGCTTTTGTGCTCAGGGTTCAAATTGTTTTCATTATTCAGTTTTTAGCCTTTCCTTAAAAGTGAACCTGCACCCAAAACTTGCTCACTGCTAACTCAGGACTAGACCACCTTTTCATTCCATTATTTTAAAAACATGACAGTAAATAATCCAAGGGTTCAAATTCATTGCTGCATTTGGTTTCCTGTCAGAGAAAGAAACAGAGAGACAATCAAATGGGTTTCATTGCCAGATTATAGAATCAGCTAATGAATTTTCAATTATCATTGCATTTATGCTTTATTATTTAAATGTTCAGAAGTGTGTGCTGTTATTCCAAGCCAAATTGGTTTTCTATGATTTGCCAAGATGACAAGGGGTGTGTGTGTGTGTGTGTGTGTGTGTGTGTGTGTGTGTGTGTGTGTGTGTGGTGTGTCTTTATTTGTGGTTATTTCATTATATGTGCTGATTTTTTTCCTTTTGATTCATAACAGAACTTGTTGGAGAGAGCCAATACATGATATTAGCAGATTTACTGTAAAAACCTCTTGAGGTTAATGATTTGTGGTTCAGAATGGAAGGGAAATTCATGGCTAGACATATGCACATCCTTACTGCCTTCTGCTTCAGCCTGACTTTCTCAGCATTGGTACATATCTTTGTCCTACCTAAGGACTGCTGCTATTTCTTTGACTTGTAGACAATTCCCTGAAATTGCAATAGGATAAGTACTAAAAAGAAAGTCCATAGCTGTGAAAAAGAAGCATTACAAAATATACACAATTTACTATTTGCTTTCTCCCTGGGTAATTAGTGAAATAGAAGGAAAGTAAAGAATGCAGAGCTTTGATTACTGTCTAAAATATCTTATGCTGAAGAGAAATCGCCATAGAGTTGCTTTCAGATGACCTTGACACAGACAGACTATTCTGGATTATCCAAGTGGACTCAGTGTAACCACAAGAGTCCTTAAAAATGGAAGAAGATGGTCGACAAGAAGGTCAGATGGTGTTATGTGAGAAAAACTTCACCAGCTTTATTTGGTTTTGAAGATGGAGGAAGTGGCCATCAGCCAAGGAATGCAGGCAGCTTCTAGAAGCTGAAAAAACAATGAAGCAGATTCTCCCCTAAAGCCTCCAGAGAGGAATGCAGCTCTGCCGACACCTTGGTTTTAGCCCAGTGAGATCTGTGTTGGACTTCTTATCTCCAGATGAGATAGATAATGAATTTGTTTTGTTTTATGCCACTGAAAAATGAATAGCCGAGGTTTTATATATTCAGGAAGAACACCAGAACTTGTTCATTCTAAATAAGGAGAGGACATATTAAGTGGATTTATTTTCCATTTTAGTAGTTCTCAATACAGAATTTTAAAACACAGTCTCCAAATATAACCAATACTGAGATAGGAATATGTACAGGAAGATATACAAATGTATGAATATATGCATCTACATCTACAGATACATATTATACACATGCATACACACATATACACATATATACATACATATTGTGTTTCTTCTTCTTAGTCAATTTCTACTCTTCCTCCAATACCATCTTAGGTCTCATCCTTCAATGTGAGGTTTTTTTCATGATTCTAGTCTACAAGGTCCACTTCCTTCTCTCAACTGAGGTTTTTCCTATAACCTCAAATAATTCATAATCTCTCCTACAAAGGTAAGACTTATTTATTTAAAATGCAGCTGAAATCACTTTGTATGTTTAATTTCTACATATTACTGACTCCCTCACCAGATCATAAGCACTTTGAATACATGAACTAATATTTCATTTCTTTATTTTGAATGGTTATAGTCAATACAGTGCCCTATGAATAATGGTGTTTAATACTGACACCATATTGATGAGAAGATGGACAAACTTCCTTTGTGAACCACGAGATAAATCTAGAATACTACTAAAGATATAGAATGTTATAGGAAGTGCCCAAAACATACTAGCATTGAAATTGCAGATAAATGAATGACAATTCTGGGACAACACTATCCAATAGAACTTTCTGAGATGAGGGAAATATTATGTATCTACACTCTCCAATATGGTACTCACCAGCCACATGTAGCTGTTGAGCATGGGGTGTGACTGAATTTATTACTTTAATATGTCTAAGTATAAATAGCCACATTTGGCTGGTGGCCTCCATATTGGACAGCACAAAGACACTTCTTTTGTGTGTGTGTGTGTGTGTGTGTGTGTGTGTGTGTGTTTGTGTGTGTTTTTTTGTGTGTGTGTGTTTTTTTTAATTTTTTTTTTATTATACTTTGATTAGTAGACTACTCTTTGAGTTCTAAGGGCTAGTGTAATAAAGGATTAGGGTCATTTTTCCACTTTCCTGATGCTTTTTTTTAATTCCTGGCGCACTGTATTAATAATGGTAGAGCAATGCTACCCAGAGTGGTCTATAATTCAGACCATGCAAGGAATTGTTTGTTACTAGTCCATGACAAATTAAGTACAGAAATTGAAAGTAAGCATTTAGAAGACTTACAGCCGCTTGATATTGACATAGCATTCAAATGTGGAGTCAGTGAACTCAACGCATTAAACAAGGCACTTTGAATATTATTAAACCTGCACAGTATCATCTGGCATATAGCAGTAGGGCCAAATATTGGTCCTTGGAAAATCAGAAAATTTTAATAGCTGCCTCGTATAGGACAGCTACAGATAGTTTAAAAAGTCCATGTATAGAGAACTAGAAATCAGAGGCCAAAATTATAGCCTATTCACCATAAATCAGCCAAGTTGTATAGACCAGACCTTTCAGAAAGATACGACTCAAAAATACAAGCACTCTTATAAACTATAAACTCCAGCCTTCTCAATTTGCAAATTAAAAAAACAAGTACTAAGAAGATGTGACATACTCAGCTACTTACATCAGAGCTTGAAGAACTTTCCTTCTAGCTCTCAGGCAACCTCTTTTTCCACTATGCTAAATGGATTTGGACCAAGAGAGATCTTACGATTCCCTCCCACAACAAATGGAAATCTGAGAATATTACTACAACACTTCCATAAAATCCACCATACAGTCAGCTTGTGCCTGTACCAACTGAGGCTTTTCTCCCCTTTTTAATGGGTTGTCACATGATGAATTTAAAAGAAAATCAATGCAAACAAGGTATCCACATGGCTCAGTGCATATGGAAAAATGAATCAATGAAAACCACCCTTATACTAAACTTTTAGATTTGAACAAGGTATTGATTAGTTTTCTTTGTTTTGCTGAGCCATAAAAGGATGCTTCATATTTTGATTTCTGTCTTTGAAGTGTTCCTAGATAGTAGGCAAAAAATGGTAATAAACTGTTAACAGCTTAGGACTTCCTAAAAGGAGCCCAGAAAGAATCCAGCCAAGCAGTATTCTCTGCATTGGAAATAGGGCAGGGCTTAGTATTGAATGTGTAAGGGATGGCATTGGCACTCTAGCTAGATCCTCTTTATAAGCAGGTGCTTTCGATTCCCAGCCACACCTTTCTCTGAAAGATTGCCTTGGGCCACAGGAGCTATCTGGCATAAGAAGTTATGCCTCTTTTCCTTCTCCTGTCTCCAGGAGGTGGGGGCATTCAGCTGCCAAGAATGGACTGATCAGGAGTTTCAGATCTCCTGTGTCTTTTGTGTGTTTGGATATGGGGGTACAAATGTCTGGCCCCTTTGCCCAGAGGCAGGATTTACTGTGTGGTGCTCTGGAGCTCCTCTTTATAGGATAAGGCTGAAACCATATCTGTGCTGGCCCCATCCCTTCCCTTTTTCTGCTTCCTCTCACTTGCTTACAGATTTCTCCTAAGAGCACACCCTCAATAAATCACTTGCACAAGAATCCCCATCTCAGAGCACTGTTTTTAGAGAATGTGACCAACAACAGTGTATGCCAACTGAAGACATTAAAAAGCTATTTTCTATTACCTCAAATATTTTGTCCTCTGGCTTGATTCAAATTCAGAATAATATTTAATTATCTTATTATTCAAAAAGAGAAAACTAAGAGATATCTGAATTTTTTTATGCCTTTGAAAAGACTCTTGTCTCCTAAGTTTGGACTCCTTATTATCGTTGATCACTGATTTCAGAGCAAAACTTCTGCTCTATTATAGAACATGTAGCTATTTCTGAGTTTGTGTTAATTGCTATTTCTTATCTGATGAGCCCATTGTAAAAGTTTTTTCGCAAGAACTTAAGAAATTTCAAGTACATAAATAATTTCTTATGCAAATACAAAATACCTCATATTTTTAAATCTATGGAAAGTTTTAATATGTTATTTAGTGAAAGAGTTAATCAAATGTTTGCCCTTTGGGGCCATGTGAGGGAGCCTGCTTTATTAATTTATGATAAATAAAAATTTGTATGAAATAACAAATAAGAAAATATAATTTTCAATTTTATATTCAAATCATATCAGTGGCTCAGAAAATGGAATTTATTAGGAAGAAATCCTATCGCTCTTTGCATAATTTTCTGGTGCTGAAACATGAGAAAAATCTGGCTGCTCATTACTATATCCTGGTTTAACATTGCTTTCAAATGCTCATTCACCAACCTAAGCTTTTTTCTTTCCTGTATCTCTGTGGAGTTCTCATAAAATATGCACTTAAGCTAATGTAAAAATAATGCATTCTTCCATTATGCTCCAAATCATTTCACAGTGTCATGTGTTTGTTAATAAATTCAGTTGTCAGTCATCTCCTTTGGTAGCTATTTCCATTAGAGATTTAGCTACCATTTAGTGGTGGTGGAGTCACTAAAATTCCAATCACTATCTTCAACAATGTTTTATTTCTCTTTATTTTATTCATCCATGTGACCCAATTTCTTATTTCATCAAGAAATATCTAATAAATGATGTCTTTTTTTCTTCTATTTCTTCCTGAAATCATAATAGCACTGCAGAACCCCTTCTTTATTTGCAGAATTCCCAGAATAAAATTCTGTGGAATGGTCACTTGGGGTAAATACCACTGAACAAGAAATTTTCTATGGCGTTGAACAAGAGCAGAATCATTTGTGATCATTTTTAACTTTCATCCTGTGCTGATGGGGCCTATGGTCTTCTAAAAGCTAAACAGAACAAGACTTTCCAACAGAGAAAATATGAAATATACATTTTGTGGATGATAAAACAAATATTTATTGTTAGTCAACGTGATTCAAAAAATGCAGTCTCTACATTCAAATGGATCAAATCAGAAAAGAGAAGACAAAAAGACATAAGCAATCCTAATACAATGTGATTAGTCCCAGATGTCTGGACAAGACTCTCTGGAAGCAGAGAGGTGAGGAAAACTTGCCCATTTGCTGTTTGGAAGAGACCGAGGGAAAGGTCACAGAAGATTACTAGTTGAAGTGGTTTGTATACTTGTATTGAAAAGGGCAGTTTTAAAGATACCGACCCTACATTATTTAATTCCCACATCTATCCTTACACTACTTAGGTATCTCTCTGTCAAGAATCAATCTTGTTCGAATTTTTTATTTCTCTATCCTAACTACTTCTCTTCCATATCCACCAACTTACTAAGGATTAGGTAAAATCTACTACTGACAGGAAAGCCAAAAATAACAATGGCTTAAATGAGATGGAACAGATTTTCTCAGCTGGTGGGTCATAAAATGAACTGTTAATCAGAATCTGTAACACTAGTTTTTCCGTCAGCATCACCTCTCCTGCCAAATGGTATTGAGTTGGGTTTGTACAAAGACAGTCCTTTCTGTTTCTAGGGTCAGACTGCAGCTCTACTTCCCATAGCTATACTCAAAAGATTATAAGATGGGCCATTCAGAATGTTTATACTTATATCTGGGAAATCCAATTCCTACTGAAGTCTAAAGAGATCTGTGTCAGCTCTAGGTGCTCTCTTTTGATGGGCTGGATTTGGCAAATGTACATTCTAGTCTGGGCTGAGGCTGGAGTTTTTGTCGTTGAAAAGGAAATAAAATCTTCTGCCTTTTGCAAACTTTGACCAGAATTCATGAAGGAATAAATATATATTTATAAGCAATGATTACGCATTAGCTGATGTTCAGAAAATTAAGAGAAGAGAAAGACTTTCACACAAAAGAAAAGCTTGTGCAAGACCTGAACCTTGAGAATGTACATGTTAATCATAGTAAATGCAAATTCCCAGTGCAAAGAGCAAAAATCAACTTTGGGCAATATTGGTTACAGTAAATATGAATGTTTTTCTCCTGATCACCAAACTGGATCGTATATAAAATGTAGTTGATGCTGAGGGTTGATAACTGAGTTATCAGCTTTCTGGTATGTTGGAGAAATCATGCATTTAGAACATAACACTGAGTTTATTAAATTCATCGTGTTTTTTTTTTAATTACTTTTTAGAGATGGGGTCTTACTCTGTTGGTCAAGCTGGAGTGCAATGGTGCTGTCACAGCTCACTGCAGCCTCCAACTCCTGGGCTCAAGCAATCCTCCCACATCATCCTCTTGAGTAGCTGAGACTACAGGCATAACCCCACTCCTACTTTAAGTTTGCAGTTTAATTAGTAGCAAAGGCATTCATAGACCCTTAAAATTATAAAACGATATACAGTTGTTAAACAAGAAAAAGGAGAGATAGACAGACAGACAGAGAACTATTCAAAACTCCAAACTTCCAATATTGAACATCTCTGGATGTTTGTGGATACTGTAAGTTTTTCATATTTTTGTTAAAAAAAAAAAAAGCAAACATCACTAACAAGGAAGATAGTCCCAAAGAGTTCTGGACTGATTAGAAATCCAGAGAGTAGCTGATTCTTGCCTCATATGAACTAGAACAAGTTTGAGGAACTAACAAATAAAATTTTTTCCTGAAATCACATGCTTGTTTTTCCATAAGACAACAATTAAAGAAAAAAATTGAAAAGAAAAAAATGGTAATTTGCATCATTCTTTTGGAATTTTGAGGAACATTGAATTTATTTATTTATTTATTTATTTTTGCTAAAGAGTTATTAGAAGACACTGTCCATTTTTTCAAACACCAGAGGCTCCTGCAGCTCAAAATTATGCTGACCTCCTCTGGCTCCCAGGATTCTGCTTGATCTTAGCTGTCCTGTTTTGATTCAGTAGCTCCCAGAATAATCCCAAATGCACATCATCACAGGGCTCTGAAAGCTCCATAATTAATGAGGAGGTGGGTGCTATTTTTCTTTCTCTACATGTTTTGACATTATTCTGGGCATTGTTTGATGCATGAAGGAGGCTTTACGTAAATAGTAAAAAAGCTGTTTTAGTTTTACTGTCACTCAGTTTTTATCCCTGTAATAAAACAGTAATGCAGAATGAATGGCTCAAAACTGAAATGAAATGAAGATGGCAAAGTAAAATAGTATCCCAAAAGTTAGAAAATTAATTCATTTGGTATGATGTAATTATTAAATAAATTTTACAGAAGCTTCTCTTTGCAGTGAAGAAATAGTCAAATTCAAATGTATCATAGGACTTTCCTTAGATGACACATAAAGATGTATGTGCCAAAAGTATGATCTATGTAAGTGAAGACTCTGAGCAGAGAAATTAAAACATGTAGCTTTCATTTTTGTTAAAGAATCTTCAAAGAGAATTTCACTGAAGCTAGTTGGATGTAGTAACATAGGGGAAAAAGTATTTCTAAATTGCATCTACATGTGCAAACTAAAAGGCATACTTAGGAATCATCTGTACAAACTAAAGCAAAAAATATAAAGGTTTCATCTTTGTGTCATTATCTGAACATATAAATATTTTTAATGGGAGGAAGCTATCTTAGATAACTGGCTCTGAATTCATTTGAATAATTATATATAGTTTAAATAAGGGTTTCTTCATTTGAATAACCAAACTAACAATAAGTGAATCAAAACAAAATGTATTTTTCTTATGTAAACTAAGCCCTGCAGTGAACAGCATGGGGCTGATGTGGTAGCTCTGTAATCAGTGTAACCCAGGCTCTTTCTTACTGCTCTGCTATCCTGTAATGTGACTACCTATGGGCCCAAGGTATTTGAGTGAGCCTGACCATCACATCTTTCCAGCCAGAAGTAAAAAAAGAGGCCAGGGCCAGGCGCAGGGGCTCACGCTTGTAATCCCAGCACTTTGGGAGGCCGAGGTGACTGGATCATGAGGTCAAGAGATCGAGACCATCCTGGCCAACCAACATGGTGAAACCCCGTCTCTACTAAAAATGCAAAAATTAGCTGGGCGTAATGGTGCACACCTGTAATCCCAGCTACTTGAGAGGCTGAGGCAGGAAGGTTGCTTGAACCCAGGAGGTAGAGGTTGCAGTGAGCCGAGATCACACCACTGCACTCCAGCCCGGGCAACAGAGCAAGACTCCGTCTCAAAAGAAAAGAAAAGGAAAGAGAAAAGAAAGAGGGCAACAAAGCGACACCACCTAGCTCTACAAAAATTTAAACAAACAAACAAACAAAAAAACCAAAAAACTAAAAAAAGGGTGTGTGATGACACATACCTATAGTCTCAGCTACTCAGGAGGATGAGGTGGGAGGATCCATTGAGCCCAGGAATTCCAGGCCACAGTGGGCCATAATTGTGCCACTGCACTCCATCCTAGGTGACAAAGCAAGACCTGGCCAAAAAAAAAAAAAAAAAAAAAAAATTAAAAAACGGAGATTGCCCTTACCTTTAAATGCACTTCCCAGAAACTGCATACTCGCTTTCTGCTTGTATTGAATCTGGAATGCAGACAGCCATGCCAGGCTATAGAAATATGGTCTCTATTCTGAGCAGCCCAGGGCTAAACTAAAAAATCGGGGCTTCTGTTACCAAGAAAGAATGGGGTTAGAAAGTGAGGACAACCGGTTCTCTATGTCTCAGTTACTGTTGTTTCTTTTTCACCAGTTGTGACATTTTCCCCCTTTTATGCAAATGACTGAAGGTTTTTTAGTTTGATGAATAATAATAATATTTTTTGTTACCGGATAGACACAGATCCTCATAGGGTAAAGACATGAATTGATCCATTACTCAACCCCAAGTTTCATTTTCAAAAACAAAAATTTAAATGTTGTGTGACATAGTTTGAGCCATAATATTCTTTCTGTCTTTTATTTACTTATACCTAGAATTTTATCAGAATTTAATGCACGTAACAACCTCTTTGACTTTCAAAGTTACTCACTCTATTTGCTTATTCTTTTATTTATCATTTAATGACATTTACTAAATTTGAGACACTCTGTTAGACATTCAACTCTGTGATCTTACAGATAGTTCACCAAATGCATTTCAAGGCCAATGAAGGATATTAACAAAAATTAAGGCTTGTGTGATAATTTCATTGGAAAGTTTCATCTGAACAAAGATGAAGCAGGGTCAATGCAACCCTTAGGGTTGTTATGCAGAAGATAAGAAATAAAGAAAAAGAGGAAAAAACATTGCAGATATTTGGGTAACTTTGAAATAACAGGAGTTCAGATGTATTTCAGAATAGGACCAAGAGAAGAAAAGTAAAGACTGTGTATATTATACATATCCATTATCTACTTGCATAAACAACTATTACACTTTGAATATTTTCCCTCTTACTATAATATTGGAACCAATGAATTGTGGAGAAATATAAAGAAGAGTATGAAGAATAAAATGATCACTATTCACCATTCTCTCACCCAGGAGAAAACCACTAACTACTGTTAATATTTTATTATGTGTTATTTTAGTATTTTACATTCATTTACAGTTGTGCACATTTTGGGGAGTTAATATTTTACATGCTATTTTGCAAGTCAACTATTCTTTTTGCAAATTACTTTCTGTCAAGTAACATGAGAAAATTCTCAAAATATAGTACTGATATTTTTGTCTTACAAAGCATTACTTAATGATTGCATAATATTTTACATGTGTCCATTTCATAATTTATCCAGTTCCATGTTGGAGAAACTGGGTATCATTGTGTCTAGAATGCATGATGACATTTTTACTTTAAGTAATTTTAAATCTAACTTAACCTTCAGTTTTTTTCATTTGTGAAGTCGACTAATACGCTCTCTCATGAGAATGTGATAAAGATCAAAAGCAGTGCCTAATTCATAGTAAAGACTCAATATCTACGAACATATTTCTTTGGACATAAGAATATTTCTATTTTTATGTTATCCTAAACAACTCGTTGGACCAGAACATTGTTGGAACATGGTGAAAACTTTCATTGTGTTCAATTATGCATCCATGCATTCATTCCTTTATTCAAGGAATATTTATTAAGCATGTATTTGTTTGCCAGATAATTTTAAATTTTACAGTAAGCCTCTTATGCACTTAATAAGAAACAGTTATTAAAGTTTTGACTAAAATTTTTAACTGCAATTATAATAATGTCAACTAGTCAAATAAATGTTATTTAACACATCCAGTAAAGATTCTATGAAAGGATCAGATTCTAGAAAATGTAAAATAATTTTAAATTTGACTGTGACTATGAAAATATTCTTTCTACAGATATTTCCTAATATTCAAATTCTTGTTTTGATCATTTAGATGACATAAGTGTCACTTTCCTATGTGTGTCAGGGCAAAATGCAGTGGAGTAAAAGTGTCACTTTCAAAGCTATTTCTATACAATCATAGTGCTTTGGAGCTTAGACACTGTGACCCCCCTTCTTTTACTCTTCCTAATCATCTGTTTGAAAGCTCTGTCAAGAGAAAGGAATCAATATAGTACATTTATTCTTTGCTTTATTATTACTGTTTTTTGCATAAAGAGATAGGTTCCTTGGAAAATCTGCAAATATCTGATCAGATCTCCAGGGTAGAATGTTTAATAATGAATAAAATGACCTCAGGGTGGAGGTTTCATCTACAAAGGGTCAACTGCCTCCTTGCCTCTTGTCCTGCTCCCTTGCCTAACCTGTTCCACACTGCAGAGGGGTCTTTCTGAATTTCACATCCCTCCATGACTCTCTTTGGAGGATCTGCATCTACTCCTTCTTCACTGTCTCTCTTGCTGATTCCAAAATGTGACTCGGCCTCAGAATTACCACGGGTAGTTTTTAAAGACACAGATCCTCAAGCTCCTGCCAGAAACATTGAATCACAATCATCATGTTTGGGGCTTGGGAATTGTTATTTCTAAAAAGTTTTCTAGGTGATTTTGATGTGGTCCAAAGACTTACATTTGGAAAGTTTTGGGCTATTGTCAGGGTCTGTGAAGCCATCCCCCTTCCTCCCCATGGCCTGAAATCTGCCTCCTCCTTCTTCATCTGTTGCTATCCCCAGACCCTTTGTGCCAGCCACATGCCAGCCTTAGTAATGAAAAATGGCACTTCTGCAGTGTACCTTTCGGATAGGACTTCTGCTATATAGAGAAGCACTATATAAGTTAATATACTTAATGCATTACGTTAAATGATTCTTATAATCTATTTTGGCTAGGATAGCAAAGTAGCCTAAACAGCTAGGAGGCTGGGAAATCCAAGATCAAGGTGCCAGCACATTGTGTCTGGTGAAGTCTTTCTTCCATTTTAATAGATGGGTTCTCTTTTCTGTGTTCTCATATGGCGGAAGGGGGAGCAAGCTATCTCTGGGGTCTCTTTTACAAGGGCACTAATCCCACTCATGAGATCCCCACCCTCATGACCTAATTGTCTCCCAAACGCTCTACCTCCTAATATTAAGACCATCAAATTGAAGATTAGGTTTTAACATGGGGATTACGGGGGACACAAACATTCAACCTGTAGCAATAACATGTATACAATGTGTTAGAATCATGTCTGACATATAGGGAAACATATAAAGAATGTTAATGCTAAAATATGTTAAAGGTAAAAATAAATTGATAGAGATGGACAGAAAGATAGATAGATACATAGATACACAGATACAAAGATAGATACATAGATAGGTAGATCAATAATACATGTATTATTTCAGTTAATCCTCACATAAACCCTGTGAAGTACATACCATTATTTTCCCCATTTTTTAGAGTAGGAAACTAAAATGCTTTTCATACAATTGGAAAAAAAAGTGTAATCCAATGCTGGATATTTGTAATTCCTTAAATGTGGTAATGCCTTCTGTTACCTGGGTGATAAAGGTGAGAAATTCATGTGATGCCTTCTCTCCTCTAACTCCCTGACAAGTGTCCTTCTATGTAGTCCCTTTTCACACCTCATAGGTTGTACATGTCTGTTTTATCTGTCAGAATGACCCATAGGATTATATATTTCTTGAGTGCAGGGACCATGTGTTATTGGTAAATGCATTGCCAGAGCCTATACTGAATCTGATACAGGGTTTGTGTTGAGTAATTGTTACATAATAAAAGGAGCAACTACTCTGAAAACCACCGCTGCTCACCTGCTGGTAATTCGAATCTCAGGCATAGAACCTCAAGAAGAACTCATGATCAGAGCAAGAAGATTCTCCAGCACTAGCCTCAGCCATTCACAGTGACTTTCTAGAACACAGTTTTTAAAAGGATTCTAAGATAAAGTCTGGGCTCAGTGCCGAAAAACTTTCACCCACCTCACCTATGGTGTGGAGATAGGGGGAGATGAAGATATACGTGCTATGCTGCCATCAAGCAGCAATAATGTCAGACTGGAATTTCAATTATTTCAGACAGAGCAACCTATGGTGATCATTAAATTGAAGACTGGTCGTTCTTTAGGCTGTATTTATAAGGAGGCTTGGTTAAAGTAGAATCCAAGACTCTGATTTAGTCAAGCTTTCTTTGATATTTGGTGCCAGTCCTAAATGAAGTGGAATTTGAAGAATGAAAATACAAAGAGTCAGTTTTCCACAGAACTAAACTTTATATATGTATATATGTGTGTGTGTATATATATATACACACATATATATATATGTATATATATATATTCTTTTCTTTGTATAAAATATGTAAAGAAATAATGTGGAAAAGTACAGGTATAAATAAATGTAAAGCACACCTTTGAAAGGCACACACATGAAATGAATTTTTATATCATGGAAATGTACATTTTTGGTTTAAAATATATAAGAAAAATGCAATGACACTGTTATTGACAAAATATGATAATATTTTATCATCTTAATGTTTTATGCTCAAATGAATTCTAGCACTCATTTCATTAAATAAGAACAAATTTGGATTATGTTATTCAGATCAAAACATAATTCTACCCTCATGACATTGAAAGGACAGTAATGTCTGCCTTTTTTTTTTAATTTACTTTGTTCTCTGCCCTTCATGTGCAGTGAAATTTGATATTTACACAGGAGCAAAGAAAGAAAAGTGCTGTTTTTTGATGAAACACTGTGACTTTCAGGGCCTGCATGTGTGTGAATTAGGCCAAGCTTTTAGGGACTCATCTAGGATAATATCTCATGAGGATAAAATGTACAGTTGGGAGAAAAACATAGGATGTGAAATTTTGTGTAATGTCACAGGAGGTACTATTTGCATATCGTTCAAAAGTGGAGATGTGGCCTATGGTAACATCTTGTCAGTAAAGAAACCACAGTTGGGCTGGGTACAGTGGCTCACACCTGTAGCCCCTGCACTTTGGGAGGCTGAGGTAGGAGAATTGCTTGAGGCCAAGAAATCCAGACAAGCCTGGGCAACATAGCAAGACCCATCTCTACAACAATTTTTTTTTTTTTTTTAATTAGCCAAGCATGATGGTGCATGCCTGTTCCTAGCTACTTGGGAAGCTGAGGCATGAGGATTCCTCGAGCCCATGAGTTTGAGGCTACAGTAAGCTATAATCATGCCACTGCATTCCAGCCTCAGTGATAGAGCAAGACCCTGTCAAAAGAAAAAGAGGGAGAAAAGAAAGAAAGAAAGGGAGAGGGGAGAGAGAGAGAAAGGAAAAAAAAGCGGGAGGGAGGAGGAAGGAAGGAAGGAAGGAAAGAAGGAAGGAAGGAAGGAAGGAAGGAAGTTAGTTCTCAGTGCGTGAACATTTGTTATATTTTACTGATATTTTTAAAAGCTTATTACTTCATTGATTTTTTTTTCTTCTCTACTAAAATCAGAATGGACACAATAGAAAGATGAACACATATAGTTGTGCATTCTCATCTGACTGGCTAAGCATCCTTAAGAACTCAATATAGAACAGTGAAAAATTCCAAATCACTATCACATTTCAGAATAAAAGGGAATCATATGATGAAATTATTAGAAAATATTTTAAGTTTATTCACTCAGTTAATTTAAGAAATATTGCTTAGGAAGAAAAATAGACATTATTCTCCTGCTCTCTTCTAGAACAAGTAACTCTAGAATACAAAGTTTATTATGTATGAGGTCACTGTACTTTATTTCTAATATCCTTAACTATTAATAAAACATCATAATCATTGTTTTCTCTACCACACTATTTTATCCTTTGTTTGAGAGTAGATGTTCAACAGATAAATTATTTTACAACTTTATGAAGCTTCTTCCAATTGTATATCAACAAATTTTTCCTTCCTTTTGAATTCCAAGCATGTCTTCTTAATTTCTATTCACAATTGACTTATAGGAAGTTCCATAAAGTATTTTTATGCCATTCTGTAGTGGTAGTCATGTTTTAGGGGCTGCTTCCAAGGATATGAGGTGATTGTCAAGGTACACAACTGTAGCCATCAGAGCACTTTTCAACACACAGGAAATAGTAAAGAAGGAAGGGAAGGGTGATTACTGAGATGTGTTCTCAAGTTCTGTCAAGTGAAATTGCTTGGATAAATCACCATTACCCATCACCTACAGGATAATGGATGTCTTAGTATGTGTAATGATATAACATCACTCTTTATAAACATTAAACTTAGAATTGACATGTTTTTTAATTTCATAAGTCTGAAGATTTTAAAAACATTCTCTCTGTACATAAGTCCTAGAACTAGCTTTGTGTATTTCCATAAAACTATATATACATACATGTGGCATATACATAAACATATATATAATACATCATATTTATATAGTTTATATAGACATCTTTATGGTATATTTACACATATACCCCTCTTATACATACATAGTTTACATAATTTATATATGTATAGTTTATATGTGTGTATATATGTTTTTATGAATAGATTCATATGTAAATGTATTTTTAGTTTACAGAGATATGTGTGTATATATATATATATATATGTGGGTGTGGGTGTGTGTGTTATATATGTTTGTTTTTATAGGTCCTGCTTTATATCAACATACTTCTTTTTATGTTTTATTTTTGTATTTAAGATAATGTTAATTATTAAAATCACAATCTACTGTATAAACAAGGTGAGAAAGAATGTACCTTTTCAGTGAAATAGAAGGGTAGAGCTGGTTCCTTCACATAGAAGTATAGCTTGTTTGATTAGGTCAATTTAATTGTGTACTTTATTATAGAGGCAGGGCTTTTATATAACTTTACATAACATTCTACTTTTGGTTCTATATCCACCAAAGCAATTAGAGAAGTTTGTTGATTTAATATCCTAACAGAATATTTTCCTTGCTTTTATTTTAGACCAATGGTTGCACTCAAGGTTAATTCAAGGTATCAGGAAGGTGTGACTGTGACAATGTTTAGTGATGACAGGGGCAAATCAATGCAAGATCAGTGGCCTGGATATTGATTATTATCATGAGATCTTGGTGAGATGAAGTCATTATTTAATTAGACTTTTAGTTATACTAATACATGATTCTCAGAATAGACTGTCCTTAGCTCTGATGTTGGCAGTTCCATCATCACTTATAAATTTAAAAGGACGGTGTATAGAAAATTTAGAGAAATGTTAGAATAGACACATAGGAAAATTATAAGTGCTAGGCTTCATTTTCTGTGCAAGGAACACAAGTAGTTTGTCTCTAAACTCATCATTTCTCAGATCTCCTTAGTTAATATTAGCAGGCCTCATTGAGAATTCTATAAAATTATCATGAAGATGATCACATCTGATTTCTTTTTGACGGAAACTACTTAGTAAAGTTAACTTTGGTTTTGGAGCAATTTCAATAAGCCCTTAGAGCTAGGAAATGGTAGTTGATTAGATTTTTTCCTTACTCATAGCTTTCAAATGCTAAGTCTGAAAACTAATAATGAAATTTCTCACCTGCATTATGGCAAAGGAAACACGTCCTCTATATATGTACAACTACTTTTGCCATGTAAATAGATGTATTTGCATCCTATTCTTTTGTCGTATCTATTTTTTAAAGTAATTAAAAGCAATTCTAATTCATGAGCATTCTTTCTTTCTTTTTTTTTTTTTTTGAAATGGAGTCTTGCTCTGTCGCCCAGGCTGAGAGCGCGGTGGCACAGTCTCAGCTCACTGCAACCTCCGCCTCCTGGGTTCAAGTGATTCTCCTGCCTCAGCCTCCTGAGTAGCTGGAATTACAGGCATGCACCACCACACCCCGGTAATTTTTTTGTATTTTTAGTAGAAACGGTGTTTCACCATGTTGGCCAAACTGGTGCCAAACTCCTGACCTCAAATGATCCACCCGCCTCAGCCTCCCAAAGTGCTGAGATTACAGGCATGAGCCAGTGCACCCAGACTCTTATTTTTTCAAAATAAGCTATTTTCTCCTTTACTCATGAAGTATAAAAATAAACATCTCATCTACTGAAATTTCTGGTTCAAATTTCATTTGCTTCTAAATCACTATTCATATGCATTCTGTGAATTAGTGCTATGAAAATTTAGTTGGACACGTATTTCTAAAATAATTCCTACTGTCCTTAAATCCAATTTAGCCATTACATGATTACTATGGTTTTATGAGGGAAAATTTCTTTTGGCTAAGTTGGCAACATTTTAAAAATAACACATTGTACAAAAAAGTACAGGAAAACCCCATACTGTATGTGGGAATATTTATATTTTCCTGAATACTGAGTAAATCCAAAGGAGATAAGCCACTTTATTTTGTTTCCCAGATATCAAATGATGTGTTCTTTATTTTAATTAAAAGGCCACAGCAGCCTACTACAGTGAAAACAAAATACTTACGTTTATTACAAGTTATTGAAAAACTGAAGAAAGCTTTTATTTTAAGAATTCTCATGGGAGAGAAGATTTTTCAAGTTAATATAAATAAATTATAATTTTTTCACAGAATGATGCAAGAATCACACTTCTGTTTTCCTGTTTACAAATTTAAAATTTCCATTTAAGTAAGGGCATGAATCCAATCTATGTAACTCTTTATTCTTGGTAAGGTTTATTGCTATACCATAACCTCTTGCTCTGGGAATAGCATTACATCTATAGGAATATATTACCTTTACAAAATTACAATATTGCCTCATAGTTTTAATCTCAACTAATTAATTTAATATTTCTGAATAGATTTAGTTCTTCAGAAATTATAACATTGTGGATTGGTTATTTGTTCCTATAGAGCACATTTTTGGTTTTGCCCTAATAGTTCAATTCCCATTTCTTTTCCCAAAACCAGGTTAGGAATTATTGCTCATTGCTTATTCTAAAAGAAACTTTGATTCTGTTTTCCTTCTTTCTTTAAGGCAGAGGAGATGGAAATTAGGATATGTTCCATTAACAGCCCCACAAGCCAGGAAAGCATGAGTGAAAGTGTTAGTGCTGTGACTGAAGATAGTGGTTCTGTAAGGCTGACTCTAGTGTTCTCTATTGCTTGTCTTTGAGTTTAAAGAAGAGAGTTTTTCCCATTTGTTTAGCTGTTTTTTGTTTCCCTAATCTGTGCTACACGTTCATAGTTTTGGTACAATATCCAGTACGATTTTTAAATGGGCACACTTATTCATTTATTTCTTCATCTAATAAACTTTTATCAAACATATACCGTGAGTCAGTTTCTACACTGTATGCTGAGAATTCATAGTCTGTGCCCAGGCAAACCTTATGTTTTAGTGGTTCTGTAGGGTAGGTCTACTTTTGCAAAAGGTAAATAAGCTGTGGGCTTTCAGCAGAAATATCTTCTATATACCTGTTTTTGCCTGATTTCAGTTTGTTAGAACATGAGGTTGATATAATTTTTACTTATTTTTTAAAGTATTGCCATGATACACAAAATCATGGCCCCTGCATACCTTTCCTGTTTTGTCACTGTATAACATTTTTCACATAGCACCCTGTACTTCAACTATTTTATTTTATTTTATTTTATTTTATTTTATTTTATTTTTTTGAGACTGAGTCTCGCTGTGTCGCCCAGGCTGGAGTGCAGTGGCACAACCTCAGCTCAGTACAACTTCTGCCTCCTGGGTTCAAGCAATTCTCCTGGCACAGCCTCCCAAGTAGCTGGGATTGCAGGTGTGCACCACCACACCCAGGTAATTTTTGTATTTTTAGTAGATACAGCATTTTGCCATGTTGTCCAGGCTGGTCTCGATCTCCTAACCTCAAGTGATCCGTCCACCTTGGCCTCCCAAAGTGCTGGAATAACAGGCAAGAGCCACCGCACCCAACCACAACTATTCTTAATCACTTGCATTTTCCATCAAGTTCTGTTGCCTCAGATCATCTGACCTTTCCCATACGTGTAATATGGTTAACCTGGTATATGTTAATATCAAGTTGTTAAATTGTTCTAGGTACTAGTGAACTTAAACTTCAGTAATGGTATCAGAAACTTATCAAATAATCATACAAATATATTTTCAATTATAGTTACATAATGATGGCATAAGAATTCAAAATATTTTTCTCTGAAACAAATTTTATAAAGATACCTTCTGAATATTATTCATAAACCTCATAAAAATTACCTTGACAATAGCACTGGGGATAGGAAATGAATGTTTTTCTTGGGATTCATAATTCTACCCTAACAGAACAAATCTTAAGTAAAAATTGCCCCTTTGGAAACCTAGTGTTTGCCTATATTGTAGTCATCCCCAGAAAAGATGAGTGAAAAAGCAAATGAATGTGTTCCATTATGTCGAGATATCCTAAGAAAACTTACATTGTTTCCAGAAGATAGTTAAGGAATAATTTTAGTTTTATAAGTTCCAATAATAGTAATTTTAATCAATACATTGAAATTATCACTTGTTATTTTTCTGCAGTTATTTCCTGGAACCATTTTTATTTGAAATCTGACACCTTTCCACAATCCCTTTGAAGATGTAGTACACAAGTGAATAGTTTACCATTAAAACTGTAATTTCCTTTAAAAATTTTTGGAATAGTATAATGGTGATTGTGTAATTAAAATTTCAAGGTGCACAAAGAGCCTACTACAGAAAACACGCTAAGGCTGAATTATGAATACAGGCCCCTTTGGGAAAAGCTTCTGATCGTTTCAGCTACTTCATTGTGTGGTTTGAGTATTTGCTCTGCAGAAAATATCATTCCTTTATGTCACACACTGTCTTTGAGATTATCAGACTTGGTTTCAATAAAACTTTTCGAGTGATGTAATGGCCTTCCTTTGTAGGCAAGTACAGTGACATTCTAACATTGAGGCTTCGAGTCCTTAGGTGCATGGACCGGGGAGAATATTTTTCTTGGTGGTTAGTGCTTTCTTGTCTCCACTCACCTCTACTTTTTCAAAACATTTAATAGTTGAAAAAAGCAAACTGCTCTGCTTATTAACTAAAACCACTCCAGGTCACAGTAGGAAGCCAATGTTATAGACCAAATAACATTTCAAAATTCTGCAAAGTCCATGGCAACTGGTCTGAGAGGACAACTTAAAATAATAAAAGAGCATTCAAAGACTATGAGCTCATTTGGAAGTATGCTTTTGCTCTTGAAATTGCATTTGTTTTTCTATGATATTTATTTAGGTGGAAGTTCGTAGGCTTGTCACTTTTCACAAAAATAGTTATACATATAGAATTGGGATTATAGGACATCTAAATTAGAAGAAAATAACCTGGTTTCTGATCTTGGGCTTGGCCACTAAGTTTTGAATGAAATCATCTATCTGTTGGTGAAGCACAATTACCTCATGAGTGAAATAATGGAATTGTCTTAGAGATGTGGTGTTCAAACTGTGATCAACAGACACCTACTTCTTAGCAGAGGATCAAGGTCAAGTAGCTTCATAAGGGAACTGCAAATTCCTACACCCGTGTTATCCTGAACTTCTCCGTGTTTCCTCTTTTTAAAAAGTTCTCTTTTTAAGTAACATCTTTTACCAGTAGGTTTTGATGAATGAATGAATAAGTGAATGAATGAATGTTTTTATTGGCTCTTAAATGCCATAGGAGACATCACTTTGAGCTACATCTGTGCCTTTCACGTACAAAAAAGCCTAGAGTATATTTGCTACTCTCCTATTTTATGTATTAAAATCAACCAAGTTCTTCTCTTTGGTAGGATTACTAGAAGAAATTGGACTTTCTTCTAAGCATCTTACCCCATTGGCTATGCATCGACTTTACCCAATTAGTCCCAACATAAAATAATGACTTGGTCAGGGGAAACTGAGGGCTGCTCTGCTCTTCGTGTCCAGAGCCCTAAGGCTATGGTAGAAGACCTCCTCTCCAAACCAAAAGAAGAAGAGTCTTTACCTCTTTTCTTGTCCATTATCACATCAGCATAAAAAGACATAATATGTGTGTGTGTGTGTGTGTGTGTGTGCATGCACGCTTGTGTATAAAACCTAGGAAACTACCAAGATTGCAATAATTTTGATAAAGGAAGATGGAGGCAGTATCTTTGCTTTTTAGCAATATAGTAGTGAAGAAAGAGGTGATAATTAAAAGGAGTTGTTGTAGATATTTCCATGTTTGCTTTACACAAGGTAAATGTTCCATAAATGTTGCTGATAAATGACAGATTCTAAATGAGGAGACTGCAAGGGTCCTGCTGCATTAGCAACAAGTGAAGTTAAACGTAAGGGAAAATCAAGAGAATCAGCGTTGAGACATGGTTACAATGATGAGTCCTTCCCTTCCTTATCTCCCAAATTTCCATCTCAAGTTCTGTGTTAGACTTTAACATACTTCCTAGCCATGTTGATTTCAGGTGTGACCACATGACTTGCTCTAGTCAATGACTGTGAGTAATGTGGCCACAAATGTTGAAGAGAAATCGAAAGCACTTATTTATAGAGTTTTCCGATTTCTGTAGTGCAAATCATCTTGAAACGATGTGATGTCACTGAACTTGGAATTTAAAAGAGATATGCAGTAGCATGCTATTGCATATTATTTCCATCATACAGATACAACAGATGTAAATAACCTTAAGACCATAGATGACAATAAAATATAGTAAACTAAGAGTTGGTGGGTTTTAAGTATTCATTTTTAATGAAATTTCCTTGATTGTAAGTTTATATAATTTAATTTTTATTAATGGCCATCTTTAACCACTTGCTCATCAAATTTATAAACATTCAACATTGGTTCTTGCAAACCAATATGCACAAAACTCAAGCACACCACTAATTAAGCAGAAAGAAGCCCAGTTCCTTCTAGCAAAAGCTTTAAGGTAAAGCTTATTGTTCTCCATGCCTTCTTTACTTCCCTCTGCTATCATAGCTGAATTGTTCCAGAAAGAAGCTGTTACTGTCAGATGTGGTCTCAGAGTGGGGATAGAATGGAACAGATTGAGAGCTAGAAATAAAACTTTTTGTTGTAAGTCAATGAAATTTTGAGGTCAATAGTTACTATTGTATAACTCTAGCTAGACTGAGTAAAAACTCTAACTTATAAGATTTTTAAAAAATTAATTAATTTTTAATTGAAAAAAATTGTATACATTATATACAGCATGATGTTTTGAAATATATATGTGTGTATATATATATAATGGAATGGCTAAATCAAGCTAATTAACATATGCATTACCTCACATACCTATCTTTTTTTGTGGTAAGAACACTTAAAATCTACTCAGTGATTTTCAAGAATATTATTAACTATAGTCACTATGTTGTATAATAGATCTCGTGAACTTATTCGTCCTATCTCACAGAAATTTTGTATCCTTCAACCAATACTTCCTCAACTCCCAACACTGCTGGTAACCATCATTCTACTTTCTGCTTCTATGAGTTTGAATTTTTTTTATTATAGTTTAAGTTCTGGGGTACATGTGCAGAATGTGCAGTTTTGTTACTTAGGTATACACGTGCCATGGTGGTTTGTTGCCCCCATCAACCCCGTCACCTACATTAGGTATTTCTCCAAATGCTATCCCTCCCCTAGCTCCCCAGCCCTCGACAGGCCCTGGTGTGTGATGTTCCCCTCCCTGTGTCCATGTGTTCTCTTTGTTAAACTCCCATTTATGAGTGAGGACATGCAGTGTTTGGTTTTCTGTTCTTATGATAGTTTGCTGAGAATGGTGGTTTCCAGCTTCATCCATGTACCTGTAAAGGACATGAACTCATCTTTTTTATGGCTGCATAGTATTCCATGGTGCATATGTGCCACATTTTCTTTACCCAGTCTATCATTGATGGGCATTTGGATTGGTTCCAAGTCTTCGCTAGTGTGAATAGTGCCACAATAAACATACGTGTGCACATGTCTTTATAGTAGAATGATTTCATACATAAGTGAGATCACCGGTATTAGTCTTTTGTGCCTGGGTTATTTCACTTACCAGTGTTCTCCAGATTCATCCCTGTTGTTGCAAATGGCAGGATTTTCTACTTTTTAAAGACTGAATAGTATTCCATTGTGTCGACCACATTTTTTGTTCATCAGTTGATGGACACTTAGGTTGATTTCATATCTTGGCTATTGCAAATAATATGGGAGTACAGACATCTCTTATAAGATATTTTTAATCACCATAATTCCTCTGATAGAGGGATTCTGTTAGAGATTTTCCTACAAGGTTGAGTAAGTCAGATGTCCTGGGGTCTGAGAAAATAAATAACAAAACCAAACATTTATACATTATTGGCATATATTGAAAGCGAGGCAATGAAGTTTCATTTTCTCACAAATGACTCATCAATTTGATTTTTTCCTCATTTGGCAATTTGTCCCAAATTCCAATTTATACTTGGTTCACAAAGAATTTGGGAACCTGCAAATACTGGTGGTGCTTTAGAGTACTTGCTCTGCAATGATTTTGCGTGGATATTTTATACTTCCCTGTGTCTGTGCTTTTCCTTGTTTGTTTCTCTTCTTCTGGAATACCCTGTCAGACATCCCTATCTTTGTGGCTCCTACTCACTCTTCCCTGAAACCCCAACTAGACATGTAGATAGTACGTTCCATGAACTGAGAGATCCCAGTCTCTGTACTCACTACTCTATTTCTAGCACCTGACAAATACTTTGTATTCAATTGTGTTCATTAAATAAATTACTGAAAATAAACCACCTTTGAAATCCATTTATACTCTGGCATGTGTGTTGTTATATTTATTATTCTATATTACATTCAGAGGACTTGTGTCTGTGTGCTAGCATAAACTAAGACACCTTGAGACTAGCATCACTGCCATCTTTCTGTACAAAACTATGGCAATGCTTAGAACTCATAGCAGGAATTTTTGAAATATATATTTTTATTTGAACATCTTCTATAGCTTCTCTATATAGCAATGAAGTGTCTCTTCATGAATGTAAATTTTATTCCAAGTTGGACAGTTGGAACTGGGGGCTTAGAGATGACAGAAAGACTAAAAATAGGTGCTGATGATGGAGTATTGCCATAAAATATCTACAAAATAGGCATGGCAGAAACTTAAAAAGGTACATGAATTCAGTTATTATAAAAAAGATAGTCACCTTGCATTTACACAGCACTTTGCAGCAAAATGAATTTCAAAGCAATTTGCCAAACAGTTTTACAAAGGATCATTTGGCTGAGTCACAAAGAGTGTCTTCTGGTGTGGGACTCTATAGCTGTTCACAATGCACATCAAGATGCCAATGAGCTGGTTTGCTGATCTCAGCAGAAGGGGACTTACTAAGGAGCACCTGCTGGAGCTTGCATAGTTTTCTTGGGATGCTTAGCGTTACTTGATTCTGGGATTTCTTCTCCCTCGAGTAAATGCCACTATTTCTGGGAAAACATGGGACAGAGCTTTTTACCTCCTATAAAAAGGCCTTAAAACAGGCATATTACCTAGCTTAAAAGACAAAATAGAGTAATTGATTTAGTACCCAGAGGACAACCTAAGTCATTACAAATCAAACCAGCAAACATTTATTGAACACCTTAGGCAAGTTACTTATACTCTCTAAGCCTCAGTTTCCTTACTTGTAAAGGTCTTTTCTCAGACATTACTATGAGGATTAAATGAGGACTGAATGTAAAATATTTATCAGACGGCATTTCACACATTAAATTTACCTAGCATTATTTTTATTATCTTTAATTCAGTATCTTACATGTCATTATGTTAGTTAAAACAAGAAAATTACATTTTTAAACATTTTTAAACATGTTTATTGCATTTTTACAATTATAAATATCTTGAACAATGCCTTTAGGTTTTTTAAAAATAAATGATAGGTAAATTGTTAAAAATTAATCTAATGAAATGATGTGTACACTAAATTCTTATATGAATATAGGCCTTATTGATATTGTGCATAGAATTTAGCTAAAATCTAGTGAGTAAGAATTATGACTATATTTAAACAAGTTTAGATAAATAGCATACCCACTCTCTAAATTGTTGTGCGTTGGCACAATGAAAAGTACCCCAAGAAAATCAAAACAGGACCAAAATAGATTGGTGAATTCACAAGTAACATGTTACATACGTGAATGAAAATACAGTTGGTTTCATTGAAATCTATAATGTATTGAGTCAAAGTAAAAGAACCATCAAAAAGAAACTGCACCAGATGGAGTTAAACAGTCATGGAAGATTTTGTTCAAGACTATTGCAATGGGAGAGCGACACCATTGCACAAGAGGGAAAAAAATAAACAACTTCACTGAACCAAAATGCTGGAGAGGTTTTAGCATTGGAGTGAACTGTTGGAAAAGTGCTGGAGAAGATTAAGGGGGAGGTTTTGGTCAATGTGATTAAGCCACATGTGTTTGCTTATTGGTGCTTGTTAAAGTTATGCTCCTACCCTCACATAGAGACTAGAAGATAGGGGCCCTATCTTATTGATTATTTTTCAAACAGTTGGCTCCCAGTTCCTTGAGAAGGATATTCCTGAGTTGTAAAGGTGACAAGAGGCTTGGAGAAGATTTACATCTCAAAGAGGCAGAGAAAGAATTTACAACTTTTCTAAGGTAAATGCACTAAGAAAAGAGAAGTCAGAGCCTATAGTTAGAAAGAAACCTGTCTAAAATTTAGTCAAGCAGAAGGGACCATAGGGGTGCTGCCGTGTCGGTCAATACCCCAATGAAACTTGGTCAGCTCAATTTTCCAGAATTGTGTTAACACAGTGAAATAGATCAAAACATATTAGCCAAAGAATATTTAGCTATTTTTTCTATGCCTACTGATCATGCAGCTGGGAGAAAGAACATAACAGATAAATGTATTGGCCCAAGTTATTAGATTATCTCAATATTGACCTAGATTTATCTTAATTTATTCTAGAAATTAATCCACTTTTTCTTTGCCAGAACATTTCCTTATTACACATGAATTATCAATATAGTAGAGAGACACACTTAAAGTAGGGATGTAAAAGCAAAGGGAATTACAGCATTAAATGTTTGATTAAAATTAAATGTCAGGAATCCTGAATTATGTTGACAGTTCCATGTTTCAATGTATATTCAGAAGGTGAAAAAAAACTCCCTGTCTTGAAATATGTAAAATCTTAAAATTTTAGCAGAAGATTTTTGCCTATAATTAGTGGCAGCCCTTAAGGGAGCACAAAGATCTCAAAGACAGTTAGTAGACTTTGACCCTAAGTTATCTCAATTGAGTTGAAAATATCCTACTGAAGCCTGAAAAAGGGAAAGGGCCAATTACAAAGTGCTTTAATTTCTCCACAATGGCTTTTGCAAAGCACTAATGAAAAGTCATTTTCTATGGACATTTGATAGGATCCTGCTATTGTTCAGATTCAGACAGTTAAAAGAAATCAACAGTCACACAGTCATCTTGAAAGAGGCAAAAATTGACCAAGGAGAAGTGAATAATTCGCATCTAGCTGTGAATGAAAATAGTCTGAAGGCACAGCTAACTAAGCCACATGCTCCTTTTCCAGTGTCATGGTCAATAACAAGTCTCAGGTAGGAGCGTGGCGTGTGCTTTCTCCAATGTTGGCAACTCCAGTCAATAAAGTATAATTGGAACCTGCCAAGAAGGTAGTGTGTCAAAGGTGTATTTAAGCAGAAACTTAGATGCTGAACTGTTTGTGTAAAAATTGAGCACATAGTCTAATTATAAGTTTAAGAACTTAAAAAAGTTTGAACCTTGTAAATCAGCCCTGTGAATGATGCACACTGCTGGAACATGACAACTGCATCAATAGAGCTCAGTCAGAATAGAGGAAGAAGTGTCAAAATTACAAGAGGAGCACTGCTCTTAGCAAATAATTAAAGGGAGGATTGAGAGAGGTGTCTTTGATTGGGATAAGCAAAAAGGTTAAAATGCCATTTTAATTTATCTCCTTAAAAGACACACAAGTGAAAACAAGACCTTTTTTGTTAAATCAATAAATAGTAATTTGATTAGCTTATGCTTGTTAGGCATTTTGATCTACCATCATACAGCCTACTATTTAAACTTTCTTGACACTCAAGATTCTATGATATTACAAACAGAATGGAGGCAAGATGCACAGTCCACTTTACTATTGATTGTATAGGTCGAGTGTGGAGTAAAAGTTCAATCAGTTCTAATGACCATGGACATTTTGATAATTATAATTACCCCTCAATGTGACTCCAAATTCAGAGGCTTCAAGAGGCTCACTACATGCCTTTCTCTGGCAGTCTCACTTTTGAAATTGGAAAGAAGGTTAAATCTGCATATCTGAGCTCTGCCCTGCTCTGAGAACCAATTGATTTCCCTTGGTAGATGTGTCATTCAAAAACTATATTTTACTGCTAATAGTACATAATCAAAGATACAGGCAAATTAATGAACTACTTTCTTACTAGAATAAAATAAAGTATGCTTAGGATCACCTTCTTCCATGTAACTTAGCATTTCATTGGCAAAATTGCATTAATCATTCCAGTACTTTCATAGAGTAATCTCAGTTTTCCTCAGCATCATTTTGTTGTTAGATTGAACCCTGATCTATTGTTAATGCTGCTTTGGAGAGGAAATTTTTGTCTATACCACAAATTAATTTGACATGTACTCATGTAGAGAAAGCAAAAAGTAAGTTGTTTGCACATTTTTCTTTTATTTGCATCTTTGACTCATTTCAGGAAATTAAAGAGATAATCACATGGTATACTAGATAGACAGTATCAAGGACCAACTTACTGGATGATACTTAACAATGTCTGAATGCTGTGATGTGACCGAGCCAGGCACCACTCCAGTGCAACCCCTCCATCCCAGTTTCATGTCTGAAAATTCAAGGGCTGGATTGGCAAATTGACAAACAGCACTTGGAACATATTGGAGAATATAGATGTTTTAATTGAACTTAATCCTTTTTATATTAAAGAACACAAACCTTATAATGAAATGACTGGTTTTTAGTGCTTTTTTCAAAATTATTTACTGTTTCCTTTTACCAGATTTATCAATGAAGAAGATGCAATGTCAAGCTTTCAAGGAAAACTTTGTATGTATAGTTTGACTTCTTACTATGCCACAGTGTAAAATGCCAGGAAGGTTAAAATCAGACTTAAGATTTGTTACAATGCATGATGAACTATAGCTCTTTAAATCTGAATAGACAGCTGGGTGCGGTGGCTCATACCTGTCATCCCAGCACTTTGGGAGGCTGAGGCAGGCAGGTCACCTGAAGTCAGGAGTTTGAGACCACCCTGGTGGTCTCAACATGGTGAAACACCGTCTCCACTAAAAATACAAAAATTAGCTGGGCGTGGTGGTGGATGCCTGAAATCCCAGCTACTTGGGAGGCTGAGGCAGGAGAATCGCTTAAACCCCAGGGGGAGGCGGAGGTTGCAGTGAGCCAAGATTGCACCACTGCACTCCAGCCTGGGCAACAGAGGCTGACTCCATCCCCCAGCCCCCAAAATATCTGAATGGACATCAGGTACACATGGACTAATAACTCCTTGAGCCTAATTAGAAAGAAAGAATAAATTGGGATTGAAGGAGGTATGGGAAATGACATTGGAATTTCAACAACATGAAATTGAATTTTATTAAGATTAATCTATATACATAATATATTCTTCCCCTCAGTTTTAGAAAACTAATTTGTAGAACTATGTCGCAGTTTGTTTGGATTTTATTATATCAATTGGCATCATAGTTTTCCAGGCCTCCACTGATAATCCTTGTAGAGAGTTCTGCAATGATCTGCATAAAATAGTAGCCTCTTTGAAATCCAGACATTTCTTGAATTCTAGACTCAGTGTACAGGCTAAGTACTTATTCAAGTCTTTCAGCCTCTCTCTTCTTTAAAAGGTACAACACAGAGTCCCTATATGCTGGCTCTTTCCAAGTTTGGAAATTTGCATGTAGTGACATTGTATGAAGAAAAGACATATCAGGAGACATGAGCTCTTTCTTTAGTTGTACAACTACTGATCAGTCACATGATATCAACAAGCCAATTTAGTTCCTAGGACTCAATTTCCTCATCCCTTGATTCTGTATTTTTTGCAGTGAGACTGTATTCTAAAGTGTTGGCCAAAATATGCAGCTACAAAAATGAGCCCTAGAATATTAAACATGTTTATTATTTTATTCCCATCCCGTTCCATCTGGCTTATCTCCTTCTGCCTCTTCTGATGCCATTTTCTCAAGGAAAACTGCATATTTTCTCAAGATAAATCATTTTCTGAGGGCATGATTTATTTCTGATAAGTGTCTAAATTAGATCAGTTATTTTTTCAATAATCTTTAATACTCTCTGCTTTAAAAAAAGACTTATTGTACTGAGTACTTTGATTTAGAAATGCAAAAGATGTTGAAACTCTTTCTTTCCTAAGGGTAAAAATGATATTAACCACCCACTTGTTTATGGGCTCTAGTTAATAGCTACAGTAAATGAACATGACAGATAGGAACAAATGTCAGTGTTTTAACATTTTTATATAGGCAAAGCTGGCATGCTAAGCCAGAATCCCCATTTAACTATTGCATGTCACGCACATACTCCTCAAAAACAAAAATGTATGTTTATTTGAGTATATTCAAATGATGCTTTTCTGTGAAAGGGCCATGTATGCAAAGTGACCCCCAAATCCTGAAGGAGCTGAGGAACCAAAGAAGGAGGCAGACAGATTCAGTTTGTCGATATTGGGTGATGTATTGAGGGAACTTAAAGACAGAACCGTGGCCTTGGATAGCAGCAAGACAGGCAGATCCCCACGCTGCTACTCCTCAGACCCGAGGCTTATACAGCTTCAGGAAAGCAGATGCGCTCCTCAGCAAGACAGTTAAAGGCAACCTTCCAGAACAGGCAAGAATGTGGTGTGTGTCATAGCCTGTACTTTGTATGATAGCATCAAGGTTGCTTTGTTCTTACGCTAGTTGAAGTAAACATTAATAAAGTAAAAACCAGGAGGCAGTCATGGGGCTAATCAGAAAGTCAACATGGCAGATTAGCATTCAAAGTGGAGTCACTTTTCCCTCCCCTGGTGCTGACATTGAAATGGGTCAAACCACCTAGTTTTATTTTCTAGGCGCCACCAACTATGAGTTGCACGACTTTGGACAAGGTATTTGGCCTTTCTCATTTCCG
The DNA here is from genome assembly GCF_000001405.40 of Homo sapiens. Lineage (NCBI taxonomy): Eukaryota > Metazoa > Chordata > Mammalia > Primates > Hominidae > Homo > Homo sapiens. Next base: position 94,006,756 of record NC_000013.11, read on the forward strand.
TTTCCAGAGATGAAATTGATCTCAAGGGGCATTTTAAGGAGTAGTTTCAAGTTTTAAAGGAGATTAAATATATTAAAGTTTTTCAAGAACTGCAAAGTACTGTATAAAGAACTATTACTGTTTGTGTTTATGTCAACAGTTGGACTTATTTACTCTTTATGTTGGCATGAGAAATTTTCCTTCTCATGTTTTCCATTTTCTGGGAAAAAAATAAAAATAAACAAAACACCTTCCTTGAATCTTAGTTCCCTCCTTAGTCACTATGCTGTTTCTCTGCGTAACTTACAAACTAATTTTTAAAGCAATAGACCTCAAATATTAATTTAAAAGTCTCCAAAATGACTTCCTAAATCTTAGATCCAATCACCTTCCTTCAGATTCCTGAAATCCATCTCACGTCATCTGACACGAGTGGTTACAACACTCTTGAAGTTCCTCCCCTGGCTTTCATTAATCTGAAACTAAGTACTCAGATCACTCATTAATTCATTGAAACACTCATCCATCCAGTGATTCAACACATATTTATTTATCCCTTACTGTGGTTAGGCACTGTTTGAAAGCACTAGAAATAAAGCAGTGAACAGTGAAGACAGCAGGAGGAATCGCTGCCCTCATGGAGCTTACAGTCTGTGCGGGAGATAGACAGTGAACACATGGATATTGATAGATATTGCGTGACTAGTGTTCTTGCATGCTGCCCATGGGTGACACACTGTTGCTGCTGCTGACCATGGACAGCATCTGGATGGTAATACCAAGAGAAGAGACCTCGGGAATGCATTAAGTCTCACTGTCCCCTCTTCTTTCCTACTGCCCTAAAGTGAACATTATGTGTTGTTTGGTCTTTGTCGTCCTTTTCCCCCTTTAAGTCTTTTTAGCAGTTTATTTTATTAAGTAAAAACAATTTCCATTGCTAGATTAAACCATTATGACCCATCAATCAGTATGCTTATGTCCTCTGTTTGAGAAGCTGGACTTCTAGCCCATTGTGAGTACTGGCTCTTTACATTGTGGTCTCATTCATGATAAATGTTGCCAATAACTTATGTATAAGTTGTCTATTTTTTAGTGTTTACAGGGACATTTCTTTTTTCTACATGTGAATCTAACGTACATTTTTAAGGAAACAATTCAGATAATATACACTTAAAGTCACTTAAAAAAAGGAGAAAGAAAATTTATTGATAATGCCATCCCCCCAAACAAAGCATCTGTTTTTATTTTTATGGACTCACTTTATATATTTGTCAATATTCATTCCAAAATATCATAAATTTTTTTTCTAGTTCTGGTAAATTATAACAGCATTCAAGTTCTTGCTTCTGTGTCCTGCCTTCCACATTTTAATAGGAATTTTCTTCTCAAATGCAGCACATTTTCACATCTCTCACACATACTCACATGGTCACAATCATCCTGAAACCTTCAATGACTCTGAACTTTGTAATTGCACAGAAAACATTGAGAATCTGTCTCTTCAGAAGTAATCAAAATTTGAATTAGAGGCAGAGATCCAGTACAATCATCTTCATATTTTTTGTTATGTCCTCCCTAAAATAAATTTGAAACTCTATATACACTCATGAACATTGGTAAGTTGTTATCTAAAATTTTTATCATAAGTTTAAATAGATGCCAGTAATCCCAGCACTTTTGGAGGCTGAGGTGAGTGGATCACTTGAGGTTGGGAGTTTGACACCAACCTAGCCAACATGATTGGTGACACCCTGTCTCTATACAAAAATTAGCTAGGCGTGTTGGCACACACCTGTAGTTCCAGGTACTTGGGAGGCTGAGGCAGGAGAATCGCTTGAACCCAGGAAGCAGAGGTTGCAGTGCGCCGAGATCATGCCACTGTACTCCAGCCTGGGTGACAGAGCAAGACTAGGTCTCTAAATAAATGAATAAATAAATAGTTGGAAAGGATGCATTTGGTGCCATATTGTAAATATTAACAGTTAAGACAACATTACATTAGTCTTATAAACACTTTCAATGAACTAAAGATCTAAATTTCTCTTCAATTTGCAAGCCATTATTATCCATTTAAAAAGACATAAGCAGGTTTTTCTTTAACAGTTGTTTTCCTTTCTCCTGAACTTGTATTTCCATTATAATTCCCCTACAAAAATTTATGCTAATATAATACAAATTTATGCTTTGAAAAATTTAATAACCACCCTATCATTTCTGCAAACAAACACATGTATATAAAGTAAAATTAATTTTCTGTTTAATTTCCATGATTGTAAGGCTCCAAGTGCTAAGATATTCCTTCAGATTGAGTTATCATTACAATTATTATTGATATTGATCAAAACTATGCAACTAAATTTTTTGATAATTAAAGCTTAAGAGTAAAGTTTTGTTGCAAATTTTTTCCTTAATGAAATGGTAGGATTTCCCCCCTAATAGGTGAATAAATCTTTGGATAAATATTACTTATGGACAGAGTTCTACTCCTTTTTGTGTGTATACAGTATGTATTGAAACATAAATGGTTCACTTGGAATAAAAGGAATGTTGTTATAGGAAAGTCACTCAATTCATTGAACATCTTCCAAACTGTAAGTCAAAAATAATATAGTAGCAGACCTGCTTGCAAAGGATCTTGGGTATTAGAATAATTTGTTTCTCTACATGCATAATCATGTTTTGAATTGTTCCTAGCATCCCACCCCAATTTCTGGTCCTCAGCTACTTACATGCTGGCATTATGCACCACATGACATTTAGGACAGGTGAGAAGAACGTCCTTTTTGTGACTTGTAAGAAGTTGGCAGTGAAATAGATGACCTTGACAGTAGGCTCAGTCTTAGATCTATTTTAGGAAATAATTCACCTAAGATGTGGAAATTACCTCTGTACACGTCTCCCTAAGAAAAGCCTCCCATGTCCTGCTTTAGGCCATGGCCCTACATAATAGGAGAACAGAACCATATGTCTGTATTTAAAAACTAGATAGTGGCCTGAGGTCTACCACCTGTGGGCAGAGAATGGAAATGGGACTCAGGAAGGCTCTCCTGAGAGTTATGTACGTTTAATGAAGTTTGATATAGAAGAAAGTACCATTTTTCCAGTACAGGTCTGCATGATCTTGCTGCTGAGGCTCAGGACATATTACTCAACTATTCATGACAAAAAGCATAGGAATTCAGTTGGCATTGCTGTTGGAGTTGTTATTACATATTTTGACTGGAAATTTCAGAAAAAGTAAAGCTCTATAGATTATAGTCTCCTCGATTCATTTTCCCTGTAGCACAGTAAACAGACAGCATTTGAATCATTTAAAATACCTTCGAAGCCTGCAAAAACAAACCCAAATTGAAGATCAAATAATCGATGCTTATTATGAGAGAAAATGTGTTTTCTGTTATTCAAGTACATTATGCTAACATGGCTGTCCTGATGAAGTCTGGGGGAAAAAATGTTGAAAAAGTAAATGCCAATAAAAATTAGAAAGTCCTCATAAAACTTCCTTCAAAAAGGACTTGAAAAGATTAATTTAATTGTTCTTCCTAAATGTGATAAGTACATTTGATATTCCTTTACTTTAGACAGACATTAACATCAGAAGGCCAAGGGTAATGAAAATGCTGACTAAAAGATTGTAAAATCCCATTTTTACCTGTATTGAAGCTTTTCTCTATTAACAAAGTGGTATTCCTTTAGAAGCTGAATTAACTCTTTCAACTTGCAGGCGTTTAATTTAGTATCCTGAGAGACACACTTTATAATATGCAACATGTTTAATTACCAAAGGACTCTACGTATGTGGGTGAGGGGATAATTCTTTTGGTGTTAGCATTTTTATGGCAATATGCAATAAACTCATTGATTTTGTTACTAGATTTCTATACCATTTGAACTATTTAATATCAGTGTTTGTGCACAACAAAGTTCTTGGGAATATTCGTAAATTATATTTTTTAGTTATCTGCCTGACATAAGGCAATGTGGGAAGTATTCTTAGAACTCAGTAAAATTATGCTTAATATTTTTATTTAAGCTTTGACCTACAACTTAATCAGTGGCTTTATAGAATTCTTTTTAAATGCAGAAATTAATGGTGGATGATGTTCCTAGGATTTTCACTGTGAATTGAAATAAGTCTACTAGGATTTTTCATAGGAAAATGGGATCATGGATGATATATCCTTAACATGGTCTCATTGGCTACAATAGAAATGGACAAGAGCATCATATCTGAAACACCAAGATGATATTAAAGTTTTCTAAAATGTTTTTGTGCCAAATAAGTCATCAATCACATAAAATTACATCTATTGATATACTATCATGATATGCAATAACGCATTCTCATTTAACTTCAGAATATTTTCCTTTCCACTAAAGGAGAAAAACATCAGTGCCATGGAATTCAGGGGGGTTTTTCCAGGGAAAAATTTTAGCAAAGTTGGAGGAGATGTCAGGAAAAATTTAGTCACTTCTTATATTTCATCATTCTTTTAAGTAATTACTGTAAGTAACACTGCTTTCCTCTACATCAAATATTTTATAATTTACAAATAAAACTGGTGTCATCCTTCAAAGTAACCCCCTTCTGAAACTAAAAAATTATTCAAGCAACCATGCATTATTTGGGGAAACTATATTTTATGTTGCCTTGACACAAGAAAATTAGGAACATTATTTTTGTATCAACCTTCTACCCCATGATTTATTTTATGAAAATGTGCTTTTGTTGGTATATTCTCCCCTCCCTCACCCATCCCCAGAACTCTTGGGAATACTGAAAATACTGAAAGGCACCACATGCCCAGTAATCCTACTTAGACTTTTATTATGTTGTTCTCGGAATATGTTTACTTAAGATAAAAATAACAGAAACATTTAATCAGTCAAGAGTCCAAGGATACTGAATTCCTCCGTGTTCCCAATATTCCACTTTGAGTTTCTTTTCCTGTTCTCCTGGCATTTGCAGCAGTGGGAATTCCGTATGGTGTGCTGCCCACTAGCCTGTTATTCATGAAGTCAGTTCTGCACTAGCTCTGTTGTACAGCCATTCATTCAAACAAATTCTCACCTGTTATTCTTCTGCTGTGGATCTTGCTCCCTGGTAACTTTGAAATCCATCATTCATTTTCATTATAGCACCTCAAGCAGTGCCAGCACATGGTGATAAATATTAAATATTTTCTGAATGAACTTGAAATAAATTCAGTCATAGCCATCTATTCCATTAATATTGGAAAAGAGGGAAGAAGAACATTTTTTTCTTGATGCAGTGCTGTCTTTTTTTCTCCTTTCAAAGACCGCCATCTTATTTTCTTTGTCCTTTGATTTTATTATTCTTGAAGGGTAGAGACACCACTGGCATCTTTTGAAGGATCTCTACCCGATCAGATTCTTCATGCCCATGGAAGTTTCCAAGTAATGTTCACTTCTTTGCTAATGACAGTTCATGGCTTAATTGTCAGCCAACTGATTACAGCATTACCAAACTAGTGTATAATCTCCCTCTGATATTTCTCTTATTTTTTTTCTCCTTCTTTGAGGCTTTTCAGAAAAGGTCCATGCTGGTACTTTGCAGGGTGAGGTTAAGAATGGGCATTATTCATGGAATCCCACTGCTGCTTTGAGCCAGGAAGACTTTCTCATAGGGCTCATCAGGAATTAGAATCACTGATGTGAATCCATATGTGTGCTAACAACTAGGTGGTCCATAAACTAGATAGCATTAATGCAACCTGGCAGGAAGCCATCATTGTGCATAGAGTGGCGATTGATTAATCGATCGATTGATCAATAAACAATAGCAACACAAACTTCATATTTATGTTTTGTACATCCAGAATTACCAAAAAACCACAATGTGTTGTGTCCGTGCATGTTCCTGTGTGTATAGGGCATATTTTAACATTATTCACCTCTTACCATATGCCAGCTACTTACACTAGGTGTTTAAAGCTGTACATGTTCCTGAGAGAGTGATTGATTTGGTTTTATATTCTTGAAAATGGCACATCCCCTTACTTTAAAGGCAGATTCTGTGTATTTCAAAGCAGATCCATTATAAGTATGTAAATATTCCTGTACAGAGGCTAGAAATTCATAGCTTTTACCAAGGTGGATTCTCACTTCAGTGACTCATATTTAAACTCACTGCTAAAATGTTTCTTCTAAATGAAGTAGTATTTAAGCTGTAATTTCTAGCTGAGGAAGACAACTATTTCCTGATGAGACGCTTAGGGATCTTGTTTTACATTCTGTGTGCACATATTGAAAATTCACATTTGATTAAAGTTCGGAATGTCAAGCACACTGCCCAAATAAAAGGCAAATCCTCATAATGGTACAGCAAGGTAAAATTTAAATGATGTGTTCGACTGGGTAAACATATTAGAAAGCTGTCTGAAATATGTATTTAACTAGCAGAAAGAACTATTTTATTCTAATGAATGAAAAATATCCATTCTTGTGTGTGCATGTGTGTATGTATATATATATATATATATGTCCGTTTATAATTTAAATGCTAAATTTGGAAATACTCCAGTCTTTCACATGATTGATAACATACATTTACTAACTCCTATGGCGGTTTTATTTATGTGTTTTTGTTTTTTGCTTTTTGTTTTTGTTTTTGAGATGGAGTTTCACTCTTGTTGCCCAGGCTGGAGTGCTATGGCGCGATCTCAGCTCACCACACCCTCTGCCTCCCAGGTTCAAGCGATTCTCCTGCCTCAGCTTCCCAAGTAGCTGGGATTACAGGCATGTGCCACCACACCTGGGTAATTTTGTATTTGTAGTGGAGACGGGGTTTCTCCATGTTGGTCAGGCTGGTCTCGAATGCCTGACCTCAGGTGATCTGCCCGGCTTGGCCTCCCAAAGGGCTGGGATTACAGGCATGAGTCACTGTGCCTAGCCTTATGTTTTAAGGAATGAAATTAAATATAGAAACTGAATCTAGGTGACACTGAATTTGTAATATACGCTGACAAGTGCTAACATAGGACTGGCAGGAACAGACACAGACCTTAAATAATCTTATTTCCTATGTCCTGCTTTTGTTGTGTAAGCGTTCCACAGCATTGATGTTACTTAAACTTGGCTTTGGAAATTCTGCAGTTACAGTTATTAGATAGGCAAATTATGTCTATTCCTTTTATCCCAGACTCAGAAAGTGCTGTCGTTTTATGGCTTGCAAATGCTTCATAAGCCTCATGCTTTTCTGGGGAGGTTCCTAGTTAATAAGTAAATTAAATTTTTAAAAATAGGCTGAATATTTTATCACTGTGGCATTATAAACATTTGTCATCCATGTAGGGAACATTTTTCCTTCAGGCTCTGATTTACAATTCATAATTGTTTCCTGTCTTATCCTTGTTCTCTCTCAATGGTACAAGATGGAGAAAAGATAGTTTCAGAGTGTAGACATTTTAATCAGTATTCAAATGGAATTAGAAGGCCCCAAGGTTTTCTGTGTGTATGCATGGAAATTCATCTCCACCAACCACCATTAGCAACAGCTGAAATCATAGGTGACTTCTCAAGAGAGAAAGTATTAAAATATCATTTAGGTCATGCACGTCAAGCTAATTTTGGCATCATGTAATTCAGGGTTGATATTATTTAGATCGTTTCTTTTTTGATATAACTACATGGGTAAATACAGCCTCTCGTTAGGGTTAAGCAATTGTGTCTTTAGCTCCGAAATCCCTTTACACTCAAATATGGCAGTAGGAATTCATTTGTTGGAGGAACTGTTCTTTCTCTTTTTAAACAGCTTTATCAAGATACATTTTATGTACTATAAAAGTTCACCCGTTTGTAGAGGCCAAGTTTTTAGTATATTTACGGTGTTAGCAAGCACCACTGTTCCCATAATCTAATTATGGAACATTTTTGTCACACAAAAAGAAAACTTAGGCCCATCAGCAGTCATTCTCCAGCCCCCACACCTGCTTCCATCACTCCCTTGCCCCATCCCCTGACAACCACTAATCTACTTTCTGTCTCTATGGATTTGCCTATTCTGGACATTTTATATATAAATGGAATCATACAATATATGGTCTATGAGTAGCTTTTGTCATTTAGCATAATGTTTTCAAAGTTCATCCATGATGCAGTATGTATCCAAATTTTATTCCTTTTAATTGGTGAATAATATTTTGCTGTACAGATATACCACATTCTGTTTACTCATTCATCATTTGGAGAATATTTGGATTGTTTCCAGTTTGGAGGTACTATGAAGGATGCTATAGACATTTGTGCAAAAGTTTTTTGGGTGATGTATATTTTCATTTCTCTTGAGCATGTAACTAAAAGTAGAATTGCTAGATCACATGGTAGTTTTATGTTTAATCTTTTGAGGAACTGCCAAACTGTTTTTCCAATGTGGCTGTACTATTATACATCCCTATTAGCAATATATAAATGTTTCAATGTCTTCACATGTACACCCACACTGGTTATTATCTGTCTTTTTTATTATTGTCATCTTAATGGTGTGAAGCAGTATCATATTTTGATTTGCATTTCCCTAATAATTAATGATGTTGAGCATGTTTTGTTGAGTCTGTTAGCCATTTGCGTATCTTCTTTGGAAAAATGTCTACTCAAATCTTTTGCCTGTTCTTTAACAGGGTTGTTTGTCCTTTTTTTGTGGAGTTGTGTATATGCTGGATACTAGACTCTTATCAGATATATGATTTACAAATATTTTCTCCCATCTATTGGTTATCATGTTACTTTCCTGACAGTGTCCTTTGATACACAAAAGTTTTCATTTTTATGCATTTTTATGAAGTCCTATTTATTTTTTCTTTTGGTGTCATACTAAGAATTCATTCTTAAATCCAAGATCATCAAGATTTACCCCATATGTTTCTTTCATTTGCTCTTATATTTAGGTCATAGATCCATTTAGAGTTAGTTTTTGTAGATGGTATGAGGTAGGGTAGGTTCCAGCTGCATTTTTTTGCATGCAGATATCCAGTTGACTCATATTGAGTTGGTGAGGATATTATCCTTTCCTCCTTGAATGGTCTTTGCACGCTTGTTGAAAATCAATTGGCCATAAATGTGTGGGTTCATTTCTGGTGTCTCAGTTCTATTTCACTGATCTGTATGTCTGTTCTTACACCAGTACCACTGTGTCATTGTTGCTATTTTACAAAAATGCATAACACTCTTAGAATTTTTTGACAGTACATTGTTGTTAACTATCTACACATTGTCATACAGTACATCTCTAGAATATTTCCATCTTGCATGACTGAAACTCTATATCCATTGAACAGCCACTCCCATTTTCTTCATCCCCTATCCCCAGGTAACTGTCATTGTGATCTCTGCTTCCATGAGTTTTTCTACTCTAGATACTTCATATAAGTAGAATCATGCGGTATCTGTCCTTTTGTGACTGGCTTATTTTACGTAGCATAATGCCCTTGAGGTTCACTCATGATGTAGCATATGATAGGATTTCTTTCTTTTTTAAAGCTGAATAATATTCCATTTATTTTATACCATATTTTTTCTCATTCATTCATTGATGGACATTTAAGATGTTTGTACCTCTTAGCTATTTGAATAATGTTTCAGTGAATGAGAATCTAATGCCTCCACTGATCTGACAGGAGACGGAGCTCACACAGTAACAATTGAAGCATTGTTTTCAATGTTCTCTGAGAACCTGTTTTCAATTTTTTGGAATAAATACCCAGAAGTGGCATTGCTAGGTAGTACTATACCATATTAGTTACTTTAGCTTTGTAGTGCATTTGAAGTCAGGAAATGTGAGTCCTCCAACGTAGCTTCTCTTTTTCAAGATTGTTTGACTGTTTGGGCATTTGCAATTTTATATGAACTTGAGGGAAAGCTGTTAGAATTTTGAAAGAGATTGCGGTGAATCTATAAATTGCTTTAAGTAGTATTGCTATTTTAACAAAATATGTCTTCTAGTCCATAAACATGGGATGTATTTCCATTGAATTAGGTCATTTGTAATTTCCTTCAGCAATGTTCTGTAGTTTTCCATGTAAAATTCTATCATTTCTTAGTTGATTTATTCCCAGGTATTTTTAAGATGCTAATGAAACAGTTTTCTTTTTTTTTTTTTGAGATGGAGTTTCGCTCTTTTTGCCCAGGCAGGAGTGCAATGGTGCGATCTCAGCTCACTGCAACCTCCGCCTCCTGGGTTCAAACGATTCTCCTCTCTCAACCTCCTGAGTAGCTGGGATTACAGGTGCCCGCCACCATGCCCAGCTAATTTTTGTATTTTTAGTAGAGATGGGGTTTCACCATGTTGGCCAGGCTGGTCTTGAACTCCTGAACTCGTGATCCACCCGCCTTGGCCTCCCAAAGTGCTGGAATTACAGGTTTAAGCCACCGTGCCTGGCCAGTTTTCTTAACTTTCTTTTCCCATTGTTCATTGCTACTGTATAGAAACCCAACACATTTTTGTGTGGTTAATCTTGTACCCTGTAACTTTGCTAGATTTATTTATTAGCTCCAGAAGGTTTTTTTATGGATTCTTTGGGATTTCCTATATACACTGTATTAGTCCATTTTTATACTGCCATGAAGAAGTATGACTGGGTAATTTATAAAGGAAAGAGGTTTAATGGACTCACATTGCTGGGGAGGCCTCACAATCATGGCAGAAGGCAAAAGAGAAGCAACGGTACATCTTACATGGTGGCAGGCAAGAGAGCTTGTTCAGGGAAGTCCCACTTATAAAACCATCAGATCTTGTGAGACTTATTCACTACCATGAGAACAGTATGGGGAAAACCATCCCCATGATTCAAAATTATCTCCTAGGCCTGCCCTTGATAGGTGGGGAGTTTTACAATTCAAGGTGAGATTTGGGTGAGGACACAGCCAAACCATATGTTATAGGATCATGTAATCTGTGAGCAGAGAGAGTTTTTATTGTTGTTGTTCTTGTTGTTTTTATTTTTTGAGACAGAGTCTCACTCTGTCACCCAGGCTGGAGTGCAGTGGCACCACCTTGGCTCACTGCAACCTCTGCCTCCCAAGTTCAAGCAATTATCTGTCTCAGCCTTCCGAGTAGCTGGGATTACAGGCACCCACCACGACACCCAGCAAATTTTTGTATTTTTAGTAGAGATGGGGTTTCACCATCTTGGCTAGGCTGGTCTTGAACTCCTGACCTTGTGATCCACCCGCCTCAGCCTCCCAAAGTGGCTACAATTTTCAATACAGTGTTAAACAGCAGTGATGAAAGCAAGCTTCCTTGTCCTTATCTTAGAGAGAAATCTTTCAGTCTTATATCATTGAATATGATGTTAGCTGTGAGTTTTCATAAATGTCCATTATCATGTTTAGAGAATTCCCTTCTATTCCTACTTTTCTGTATATTTTTATCATAAAAGTGTGGTGGATTTCATTAAATTTCTTTTCTGCATAATTTAGATGATTGTGTGTGTTTTTCCTTTGTTCTCTTACTAGACACGTATTATATTGACAGTTTCTTATGTTGAATCACCCTTAACTTTCTGGGAGAAATCTCATTTGGTTAGTGTGTAGTATAATCCTTTTTTTTTTTTTCTGAGATGAAGTCTCACTCTGTTGCTCAGGCTGGAGTGCAGTGGTGCGATCTCCGCTCACTGCAACCTCCGCCTCCCAGGTTCAAGCAATTCTCCTGCCTCAGCCTCCCGAGTAATTGTACCTACAGGCACATGCCACCACATCCGGCTAATTGTTTTTGTTTTTAGTAGAGATGGGGTTTCACCATGTTGGCCAGGCTGGTCTCGAACTCCTGACCTCAGGTGATCCTGCTGCCTCGGCCTCCCAAAATTCTGGGATTACAGGCATGAGCCACTGCACCGGGCTGTATAATCCTTTTAATATGCTCTTGGATTTGCTTTGATAGTGTTTTGTTAAAGACTTTTTAGTCAACATATATAAGGGGTATTTGTCTATAGCAGGGGTCCCCAACCCCCCAGCCGTGGACTGTGGCCTGTTAGGAACGGGTTCACACAGCAGGACATGAGCACCTGATGAGTGAGCATTACCACCTGAACTCCACCTCCTGTCAGATCAGTGGGGCAATAGATTCTTATAGGAGTGTGGACCCTATTGTGAACTGCATATGCAAGGGATCTAGGTTGCATGCTCCTTATGAGAATCTAACTAATGCTTGATGATCCGAGGTGGAACAGTTTCATCCCACAACCATTCCCCCACCCCCACACCTGTCCACGGAAAAATTGTCTTCCACGAAACTTGTGCCAAAAGGGTTGGAGACTGCTGGTCTGCAGTTTTCTTTCCTTATTATGTCTTTGTCTGGCTTTGGTATCAGGTAGTGCTGCTCTCTCAGAATGAGTTAGGAAGTGTTACCTCATCTTCTGTTTTTTGGAAGAGTTTAAGAAGGATTTTTCTTGATTCTTCTTTAATGTTTGGTAGAATTTACAAGTTAAGCCATCTGGTCCAGAGTTTTTCTTTGTCCGGAGGTGTTTTATTACTGACTCCATGTCTTTACTTATTATAGGTCTATTCATGTTTTTTATTTCTTCATGATTCAGTCTTGGTAGGGTGTATCTTTCCAGGGATTTTTTGTATTAAGGTTATATAATTTGTGGGTGTATATTATATTACCACAAACTGAGTGGCTGAAAACAACAGAAACTATTTCATAGTTCAGGCGCTTAGAAGTCTGAAATCAGATTGTCAGAAGCCAAGAAGTCGGAACTCAGGTTGTCAGGTGGTTCTTTCTGGATGCTTGGAGGGAAACACTGTCCCATGCCTCTCTCCCGGCTTCTGGCGGGTGGTTGCCAGTAATCCTTGTTATTTCTTGCTTATCAATGCATTGCTCCAGTCACTGCCTCAATCTTCACATCATCTTCTTCTTTGTGTCTCTGAGTGTCCTTTTCTGTCTCTTACAGGGACACTTTCACTGGATTTAGGGCTTATCCTAATGAAGTACGATCTTATCTAGATCCTTACTTTATTTATATTGGCAAATACCCTATTTCCTAATAAAGTCTTATTTGTAGGCTCTGGATGGACATGCATTTTGTCAGGATTCTATTTAATCCACCACAGCGTACAACTGTTCATAGCATTTTTATATAATCATCTTTATCTCTGTAAGATTGAGAGTAATGTTCCTTCTTTCACTTCTGATTTTAGTTACTTTTTCTTTTCTCTCTTTGATAGTCAGCCTAGCTGAAAATTGGTCGATTTGGTTGATCTTTTCAAAGAACCAGTTGTTGGTTCCATTGACTTTCTCTGCTGTTTCTCTATTTGCTTTTTTTGTTTATTTTCACTCTAATCTTTATTATTTCTTTTCTTCCACTAGCTTTGGGCTTAGTTTTTTCCTTTTTTTCTAGTTCCTTAAGGTATAAAGTGAGGTTATTGATTTGAAATCTTTCTTCTCTTTTAACATAGGCATTTATGGCTATAAGTTTTGGCATGTTGTGTTTTCATTTTCATTCATCTAAGTATTTTCTATTTTCCCTAGTGATTTATTCCTTAACCCATTGTTTGTATGAAACGTATGTGGTTTAATTTTCACGTCCTTGTGAACTTTTCAGTTTTCCCTCTGTTACTGATTTCTAGCTTCATTCCTTTGTGGTCAGAGAATATACTTTGTACGATTGCAATCTTTTCAAATTTAAGACTTGAAATTTAGTAATGCTTTTTCGACTGAAATTTATCAGTCTCTTTCTTGACTAAGTGCTCTTCTGGTTGCTGTATGTTTTTATTAGATTCCAGTGTTCTGAAAAGTTGATTCTGTCATGTCATTTTTTGCTAGTTTTGCTCTTTTCTTCAGTGGCGGGACTAATTATTGGCACTGTGTCTGCCATTTGTGTGACATCACTCATCTTCCATGCTTATCTTACAGGCGTCTGTTACATGCCTTCCTTCAAGAGCCCTCCCTGTCTACTCTGGCTTCTCAGTTCTAAGCTAATTGTCCTTTTATGGGTTCCCTTTACATTGCATTTCCCCAAGATAATAATTATTTCCCTCAAATGACTGAACATGAACATATTCTGGGCATCCCAATAATGGCACTAGGTTTCTTCTTTCATCCCAGTAAATGGATGAATGAAGGTTGCACAAATGAATAAAGATGAAATAAATTTAATTTCCCATGAGCTTACTACAAAGCCTATTTATAGGTTACTATTAAAGAATCAAAATCAGAAATATTTAACACAAAAGATACTTTACATGTAATTTAATCATTCTTTAGGATCTGGTGATATAAGATTATGAGGAAAATCAAAAGATCATAATCACAAGAGTCATCTTAAATGACATATTATGACTCATTATGACTCTTATGAGTCATCATTTAATGTGACTGTACATTAGAAACTGTGGAAGAAAGCATCAACTCTTGCCCAAAAGGACATTTAGAATGTATTCTAGCTGAATGTTTTACTTACATTAACTTATCTATCTTTTGAGAGCAGAAGATAGATATGTTTATTTGATTATTTTGGTTATATGATTTTCATAGAAACAAGCATCTGCTAGGTGTATGTTCATTGTGTGTATATATATATATATATATACTTTTAACTTTCACATATTTTCTTGCTTATTTAATATTTTAAGAAACAGTCACGTGTTACATTGGCTACTATTAGGAATAGCTAATGTGAGCATCCATGCATCAATGCTGGTCCAGATATAGAAATCTTAAGTGTATTAGAGACCTGAAATGAAATATTATTACATGGCTAAGAACATGCTATACCTCAAGTCCCGTTTAGAAAACATAAGAATTACTTGCTAAAACATTTTGACATACATGGCTAGCCAGGTAGATAAGTCTCTGTCCTACCCCACAATACAGCTTTATTAAGGATTCTTTTTGTATTCCTTGATATGTTTCAATGTGTTGCACTTTAGCCATAAAAAAAAAATTAGTGAGTTTCCAAATGAACTCAATGATTTTTGTTATTTTATTTACTTTTTGTTTATTTTACAAGGATCGTTGGTTATAAATTTTACTATATTTTCAAGACTAGTAAACTGTAATATCAATTACAAAATAATAATGTATGTCAATCATTATACACAAGCAGAAAATTAAAAAATAACTAAATCCAAGATGTAATGAATTCTTATCAAAATCTCACTTAGTTGGCTCACAAACTTGTGTCTGTCTTTTCAGTAGTGGGAAAATTAAATTGGAACAATTGACTATTTTCTTTTTTCCCAACTAATATTGTAAAAGATTATTGTTTTCAAAATAAATTTTACTGTGTATCTTTAAGGTATATATCATGATGTTTAAGATACATGGACATAGCAAAATGGTTACTGTAGTGGAACAAATTAATATACCCATCATCTTACCCAGTCACCCATCCCCTCTCAGAGAATCGCTGTAATCTTTTTCTTTAGCAAAAGTCCTGAATACAGTACACTAGTGTTAACTATAATCTTCATTTTGTACATTAGATCTTTCAAATTGTTCATTCTACATAATTGCTACTTTTCATCCTTGACTTATATATCCCCATTTCCTGACCCAATCCTAACCCTTGTAACCGCCATTTTATTCTCTATCTCTATATAATTGACCCTTTTTCCCCAGATGCCACAAATATTTGAAATCATGCAATATTTTTCTTTCTGTGTCTGGCTTTTTTCACTTAGGATAATGTCCTATATGTCCATTCATGTTGTGGCAGATGGCAGGAACTCCTTTTTTTAAGACTCAATAATATTTTATTGTGCATATATACCAACTTCTTTATCCATTCTTTCCATGATGCACACCTGTGTTATTTTCATATCTTGGCTATTGTGAATAAAGCTGCAATAAACATGGAAGTGCAGATATCTTTACAAGGTGGTGATTTCATTTCCTTTGGGTATATATAACCAGAAAAGGGATTACTGGACTTTATACTGGTTTTTATTTTTAGTTTCTTTAGGAACCTCCATATTGTTTTCTTTAATGGCCACATCAATCCCTTTTCTCACCAACAATGTACAAGGGTTCCATTTTTCTCCACACCCTTGCCAACACTTGTTATCATCTGCTTTTATCCTAACAGGTGTGAGATGGCATCTCATAGTGCATTCCTCTGATGACTAATGATGTTGGGAACCTTTTCATGTTCCTGTTGGCCATTTTTGTGTCATCTTTGGAGAAATGTCTTCATAAGTCCTTGATAAAAGATTATGAATAGCATGTAAAAGTTAGGTGAGAGCTCAAATAAGTATTAAAAATAATGTTGTCATCATCAGCTTATTCTTTGACCCAAGTTTATTTCCCAGTTTACTATGACTATCTGGAAAGTTACAGCTACATTATTTAAAAAATAAACAAAAATCCACATTACCAACTAAAAAAATAATCTCAGCTTTTTATTTCTAAAGAGGGATTGTGTTCTTTATTGTTGCTAAAAGAATACATTTTTTTCAGTAATTTTTTTTCTAAAGGTCCATACATTTACAAATAGTCCACATAAGCCCTCTAAGCTTGAGGTGTTATTCTATTTTAAATTTTAAGTATGAGTTTTTAGAACTCTTTTCTTTATTTTGGTTTTGCTAAACATATAGACTTATCTAATTTTTCAGAGTTTTTTTTTTTAATGTTGGATGTTTTACACAAACCAGTTGGTGGATCATTTTGGATCATTGACATCTACTCAACTTAAATACTGGTATAAATATTATCCAGAGGAAACTCATGATAAACTTAAAAGTACATGATACACCCATGGAAAGGCTAAAATAGTGACAGTCACATACACTGTAAAAATTTGGATAAAACTGGAGGTCTCACATATTGCTGGTAGAAATGTAAAATGTTACAAACAAGCTGGAAACAGTTTAGCGATTTCTTACAAAACGAAACATACTCTTACCACCATGTGATCCAGCAATTGCACCCTTGGGCATTTCTTTCAGAGAAATGAAAATGTATATTTCTACAAAAACTTGTACATAAATCCGCATAGCAACTTTATTCCTAATAAGAAAGTAATGGAAACAACCCAGATATCCTTCAGTGGGAGAGTAGTTAAATAAATTCTGATACATCCAAATAATGGAATACTACTCAGCAATAAAAAGAGATGAACTATTAATATATGCAACAAGTTGGATGGACCTTGAGGGCATTATGCTCAGAAAAAAAAAGTCAAGCTCAAAAGGTTACTTATTGTATGGTTTTATTTATATAGAATTCTTGAAATGACAAAATTATAGAGTTGGAAAATAGATTAGTGGTTGCCAGGTGATGGGGACATTAGATGAGGCGAAGGTAGCAAAAGGGAGTTCTTTTATGGTGATAGAACAGTTCTGTATGTTGATTGTGGTGGTGGTGGTTCCACAAATGAATACATGAAATAAAATAGCATAGAACTGTGTATAGACACACACACACACACACACACACACACACACAAGTGAATACAGGTTCATAAACTCTAAAATCTGAGGTCTACAGACTAGTTAATAGCAATGTACTAATGTCACTTTCCTCATTTTTATATTACACAACAGCTATATAAGATGTCACTATTGAGGCAAGTTGAAGGAAGGATACACAGGAGTTTATTATTTTTTAAACTATTTTTGAGCTTATATTAATTTCAAAATGAAAAGATTTTAAAGAGTATCTATTGTGCAATTATAAAACACTATGAAAAATAGAGATGTCTCCTCACACAATTGGCATTTAAAGCAACATTTTCAGAAGCTTACTTTTAAAAGTCTTCAGTTTGAAGTGATGATTTTTATTTTAATTCAAGCATGCCCTTGTGTAAGCTCAAAAGATGTGATTTGTGAACATGAAAGCTTCGACTCTGATCCCCTGGGCTCCATTTTCTTCTTCTTCAACTGCCCTTTATTTGACCAGGAAGGATATCATTTCCAGAAGTACTAGGAGACCCACATTTAACTTGAACAACATTGTTCTTTCAGATTATTAAGGCTGTTCAATTTTCTCTGTTGGTTGCTACCCCGAGTTGGAGACTCTTCTGAAATGTCAGACTGAGAAAATAGTACTGGTTCCAACACAATGAAAAAAACAAATGAAAAGCTTTGGAATGAATGCAATCAATAGCCTTTGAAAACAAAGTTAAAAAGCAACAATTGAATGCTAAGATGTATAAAATCATCTTGTTCTTTTTTTTAATTTGAATATCAATGTGGCCAAGAAATGGGGAAGCACAATAGAGCATTTGATTCAATAAGCACTTAACAAATACCCAAGTCATCATTGTAATACCTTATATGATGTGCATGTTGTGCATAGCACAAGGTTATAAAATGCGTAGCAGTGAAAGTTATAAAAATGAATGAGACAGTCCTTGGCATCCAAGAGATCTCAAATTTATATCCCCAATATTGGCAAATGCTCTAGGTTCTAATACCAGAACACTGAGTGAGAAGCACAGCATCATTTAATACCAATGGTGAGATAACCAAAACCCAACAGATTCAAACGTAGAAATACCTTAGTTAGCCCAAGTGAAAATTGGGTAGTCTTTGGAGAAAAGCATCAGTCAGGAGAGAAATTGCAAGGCTGTAGAAAATAAAATCCTGTGGTAAAGGTTTGCAAGTTAGTAACCATGCCCAGTAAGTTTGCAAGATAGCAACCATGCCAATAAGGAAAATGTGTAAGAATTTTAAATTTCACATTAATATTGTCTGAGGAATGCAAAATTCTTTTTCCTGTTTTTTTTTTTTTTCTTTTTTTGTGAATGGCTTGGGACACATGTGATAAAGGAAAATTCTGAAACAGTGCTGCTCAGTTACGGGTAAAACTTGGCACTATCTCCCATCCAAGTACTAACCTGGCCCAACCCTCCTTAGCTTCCAAGATCAGGTGAGATTGGGTGCATTCAGCATGGTATGGCCTTGGACAAATTTGGCTCTATCTACAAAATAGCCTGTCTGGAGATTACATAATGGCATTAATATATCCTTAAAAGAAAAGTCAACAGACTCCTCACCTTTATACCCATTTATTGTTTCTGTTTTGTTGTTGGAAAATGAGTTTTAGAATTAATCGATAGGAAACCCTTCTATGAATACCTTTATAAAGAAAGGCCAATTATATTTTACTTCATTTATTTGACTTACAGTATTTTACTCACTGACTTTCTATTGTTGATCATGTTGATTCTATTTTATTCAAGCCAGTATTGAATTATCAGGAAAAGTAAAAATGAAAAGGATATTACTCTGGGATAAAAAAAATTAAAGGATATTACTTTGGCATGAAAAATGAGGTAGGTTAATGAGGATGGGTAGAAGGATGGACAGATGTGTGAAAAAGCAACTGTAGAAAAACGTAAATTGTACCATGTAGGAAATGTGGCTGTGAACTGTAAAAGTCTTTCACCTATTCTGCATGTTTGAAAACTTTCATAAAATTTTGGAAAGAAAATGCAAAAAAACTCAAAAGGACAACTAGAAATTTTAGTGCCTAAATAGACAGCTTTATTTCCTAAAATAATTTTTTTAGTGATTTTGTCAACATACTGGGTAAAATTAAGAAAATGTTACAGAAACCAAAGGCTTGCATTAAGAATCTCAAAATTGATCCTAGGTAAGGGATAGAATCATAGAGAAATAGCTATAGTAATTGAAAGTATCCATTTATGTGGAAATATTTCTTGTTGTTCCATCAATACACTGGTGTTATGTTTCTTCAGCATCTGAATGTTCTTGTTACCTGTGAGCTCAAGTCCACCACTCTCCAAGAGGGCCAAATGATACAAATTAGATTTTTTTCCTCAGATCTAGAATGCAAGTACAGCAATGTATAGTTACTTGACTAAAATATCAAAGTGATATGGAACCAACCAAATGAATATGGCAACAATTTTTACATCTAGTCATGAATAAGAGTAGTTTTCTGTATTTGCTTTCTAATTTTGGTCTCCACTATCTTGTATGAGTTCATTCTCACATACTACTATAAAGCACTGCCCGAGAGTATAATTTTTTAAAGGAAAGAAGTTTAATTGATGCACAGTGCAGCATGGCTGAGGAGGTCTCAAGAAACTACAATCATGGCAGAAGGGGAAGCAAACACATCCTTCTTCACATGGTGGCAGTGAGGAGAAGTGCCAAGCAAAAGGGGAAAAAGCCCCCCTATAAAACCATCACATCTGGTGAGAACTCCCTCACTATCACAAGAATAGCAGGATGAGAGTAACTGCCCCCATGATTCACCTCCCATGATGTGGGGATTATGGAAACTATAATTCACGATGAGATTTGGGTGGGGACCATATCCTGTCTTAAATATTCCTTCCTCTTGAAGTCAAATTAGAATTCTTAATGAGTCTTAAAAAGCCCTTATTGGTTTAGAATTGATTAATTGAGGAGCCCTGATTTTCTGATCCAGGGCAAATAGGATTTCATTGTCAGTGGATACGTAGCTCCTCTGAATTACTGCAAGGATTGCTTCTCACATTTAACACTGGTCCCTGAAATTTTCCATGAATTTTCCAGAAGTGCAAAAGCTGCAGATGCCCAAAGATGGTACCTTGGCAGTTCCATTGCTTCTAAGCAGGCCTGGATCTTAGAGATCTCAGACAAGTTGATATTGATCTTTGAAGAAACGTTATGTACAAAGGAAATATATCTGCCAACCTCCTTTAGAAACAGGGTCAAATAAGCAGTTGGAAAATTTTCTAAATGTGTCACATTAAACTTTAATAATACCTACGTTTTTATGGGGCTTTTAACTTTGCAAACTGCTTTCACATGCATTATCTCATTCCATCTTCTATGGCAATGAAACAGTGTCTAGGCTTTAGGGCTGAATTACAATGACATCGATATGAAAATGTTGACAGGGACATGCAAAAAAGTTATTACTATGCCAAGCAGAAGAATTCAACAGGAATTGGATGGATTCAAGATCAGTAATTACAAAGGGTTAAGATTCTGCTTGTGGTTTATCACTGCTATTTTGTCTTTTTTTCCTCCTCTTTATCCTTCTTATTTTTGATTTTCTTTTTCTTTGCAATAAATCTGCAGGTCAGCCCAACCCCAGGGTGTATCCGTGCCCTCATGAAGATGCTGTACTGCCCATACTGTCGGGGGCTTCCCACTGTGAGGCCCTGCAACAACTACTGTCTCAACGTCATGAAGGGCTGCTTGGCAAATCAGGCTGACCTCGACACAGAGTGGAATCTGTTTATAGGTAAGAAGTGTTTAAATGGATCCGAGAACAGAGACGGGACAACAGCAAGTGTTTATGGGGCTTGATGGGTGGGTCAGAAGTTATAAGAAACCAGACACAGTGGTTCACATCTGTAATCCCAGCACTTTGGGAGGCCAGTACAGATGGATTGCTTGAGCCCAGGAGTTTGAGGCCAGCCTGGACAACATAGTGAGATTC
Organism: Homo sapiens; assembly: GCF_000001405.40. Classification (NCBI taxonomy): domain Eukaryota; kingdom Metazoa; phylum Chordata; class Mammalia; order Primates; family Hominidae; genus Homo; species Homo sapiens. Next base: position 94,028,093 of record NC_000013.11, read on the forward strand.
CCATCTTTACAAAAAATAAAAAATAAGCTGGGCGTGGTAGCACACATCTATGGTCCCAGCTGTTTAGGAGACCGAGGTGAGAGGATTGCTTGAGCTTCGGAGGTTGAGGCTACAGTGAGCTGTGATTGCGCCACTGCACTCCAGCCTGGGTGACAGAGTGGGACCCTGTCTCAAAAAAAAAAAATGTTATGATGACTTTTAGAGACTAGGATGGTTTTTAAAACCATGTTTAGCAAATTATAAACATTATTTTACATTTTCCTAATGTTTTTACTGTATGTTATATGGGACAGTCCTGTTAAAGATTGTGCAACCCAGCTATATTGAGCTAACTGTTCTCTCTGATGAAAACAAAAGTAATCTTGTTGAAGTTCCATGCACTCCCGTGAGAAAGGACGCTTTAGAAAAGAATCTTGTAAAAAAAAAAAAGTCCACTGTACTATTTCTTTTTTATTTGTATTACCTCAGCATAGCCACACATATTAGCAAACAATTCTTTCCTTGAACTCCTAGAATGAAAATAGATCAATACTTTGGCTAAAATATGCAAATTTTCTATCTCATTCTGTGGAAAAGAAGGCTTTAAGCACACAAGCATGAAACAGCCTTCCAGTCTCTAGAGGGCAGGAGGCAGGGAGGTGGGGAGAATGGAGGGGAAGGTCTCTGAATCAAGGCTCTGTTCTTGGGTTGCAGAAATCATTCAAGTGGTTGCATGGCCCAAAGACAGTTCACAAATTGCCATCCAAGGATAAAAGGACAAATTTCATAGGCAGGCTTCTCCCAGGAAAATACACAGGCCTTGAAAGAGTAAATGTGTTTTCTCCCCCTCTGTCAAATAGCCTTCAAATAAAAGTACTTTCAATTGCATTTACTGCAATTACACAGTGACAAGCAGAGTGGTGAAAATAGCAGTGGCATTTGTCAGCCTCTGAGGGCCTTCGTCATTTATGCAAACCTCTAAACGAGCATGCACAAGTAAAGTGTTCTGACAACTAAGATTTGCATAGGATAGAAAAAAGATGTTAGAATTCAGAGAAACTGAAGCTCACTGTACAAAGATGTGCTTAGGTTAACAGGCCTCAGCTCTGATAATGAAACCCATTGGCTAATTCACCATTTTGCTTAGAAAGGCCAGAGGAAATGGTTTTATTTCAGAAAAAATAAATTGAAGTGCCGTTACCTCTCCCCACAGTGGGAGGACAAAATCTCTTTGTATGATCATGAGTTACTTTATTTGAAAAATGAAGGAATTTTTAAAAGTTAATCATTAAGTTATCCTTCTGACACAAAATGACATGATTCTTTACTAAGATTTTTGTTCTTTGCTAAAATTGTGGAGGGGTTATGAATTTTTAAAAATAAACTTGATCTTAGAAGATTTGGATTTTTTAGCAAAGACAGAATACCCAACTAATGCTGATAAAAAGGTACACTCATCAAGAAATCTAAAAAGATCTGCTTATTTTAAAGTCAGATTAAACCTCGTAGCATCATTTGGAGTCATATAGTCATCCATATTTTTAGTTGAAATGCCCTAATTCCTAGCACAGTTCAGTTGGCTTCAGTCAGCCTGCAAGTTATTGAAGAAGATGGGCATGTGGGTTTTGTTACTTAGAGCAGGACATGATTAAGAATGAGAATATAGGCTTTTTAACTTGTAAGAGCAGCAGTGACTTCTTAATTGGCTTTTTGTCCTCAGTGCTTACTGGCTGTTTTAACGGAAAACAAATCCTTATGCTTTCGATCAATTGAGTTTCCTAGATACCGATTTGATGTGAAATGGAATGTCTGGAAAATCACTGGATTCAAAACTAAAATTTGAACCAACTATGTGTTGCTGGATGTACTTTAATGAAAAGCAAGCGTGGTGGTTCGTCCTATATGAACGTATTTCATACCCTTTCTTCCCGTCTTTTTTTTTTTTTTTTGAGAGGGAGTCTTGCTCTGTCGCCCAGGCTGGAGTGCGATGGCACGATCTCGGCTCACTGCAAGCTCCGCCTCCCGGGTTCATGCCATTCTCCTGTCTCAGCCTCAGCCTCCCGAGGAGCTGGGACTACAGGCGCCCGACACCACACCAGGCTAATTTTTTTGTATTTTTAGTAGAGACGGGTTTTCACCGTGTTAGCCAGGATGGTCTCGATTTCCTGACCTCGTGATCTGCCCGCCTCGGCCTCCCAAAGTGCTGGGATTGCAGGTGTGAGCCACCGTGCCCGTCCCCTCTGTCTCTTTTTTTAATTAGTCCTAGATGTCTTTGAGAAAATTCTTCCAGTTTTCCTTCTTTGGGTTCTGCTGTGGCATTGAGAATTGACCACCAATACAGACTTATGGAGAAAAATGTGCTCTTGCTAATACTTGTCTGGGTGTGAAGTGTTAGTTCACAAATTTATGGCATGAATTAGTCAAATGTGCCAACTCCATTTTCCACACAGATACATCTCAGATGACAGTGTTACAGTGTTCATAAATGCGGCAGCAAAGATCAGTGAGCAAATCGGTAATCCAACAAAAATTATATATAATAGCCCTCTCTCTGGGTAGCACCTGCAGCCCATCACTTTGGGCTTCTGGCATCTCTTCATCAAAACCTTCACTCCTGTTGCTGTCAGTTGCATGTACCTTCCCTGCTAGCTACACAAATGTCCCAGTTTGTACATCTTATAGATGTTTTTCTTTAATTATAATGTGCCTATCTAAAATGTGAACAGTGGTATGCAATCGACCGTCAATAAAAACAAGAGTCAAACTGGGGGCACATCCTCCCAGTCTTTACAATGCCACAAATTAATTGAAAGTGGTTAGTGACTGTTTAGAGTTCAGTCAGTGTCTGGATCATGTCAAAAGAAAGTTAAGTGTTTTAAGCATTCCAGTAAAAACTTCTGTGGTATTCCAACCACTACTGAAGTTCTGTAGTTGGGGTGTGTGTGCGTGTGTGCATGCATGCGTGTGTGCGTTTGTGCGTTTGTGCGTGTGCATGTGCGTGTGCGTGTGCGTGTGTGTGTGCGTGTGTGTGTGCGTGCATGTGTGTGTGTGTGTGTGTTCTTCGAAAAAATCAGGAGTCTATTTAGGATGCATTTTCAAAGTCCTCCTCCAGGAAGTTTAACTCAGTTCCCTGCACAGAGGAATTGCTCAAAAGATTCTTACCAAGTAACTGTTATAAGAAAAAGAAACTCCATTTTTACATGAAGAACTTTTCTTTGAAAACTTCCTTACAACATTGAAAAAATGCCGCTAGACCTATTTTAGAGTACTTAAAAATCCTCATCAGCCTCAGGCCCGCCCCTTCACTTGCTTTGTAGTAAGTAGTGTATGGGGTTCCCCAGGATAAAGCACAACCCAGATTCCACTTGCTGCATCCAAATGAATGGTGTCTTACGTAGCACCCCTGAGCTAGGCAGGACCAGAAGAAACAGGAGAGTGGCTTTTAGCCTATTGTCACTATTAGAAACTATGCAGTGCGGTAGGAGAAAACCCTGTTTTAAGGCATTAACAGTCTCTGCTCAGGCACTTATCCCAGGTATTGCCGTATTTTCATACAAAACTTATCCCAGCCTAGCTTTTGCATGCTGCCCAAATGCAAAATGGTTTTCTTGAAAAATGTTTGTGTTAAATTAAAATCTCCTAGAGGGAGAAACAGTTTGTGGGCAGAACTCGCTTCAGTAATATCCTGTGGTTATTTTGAGTGTTTGGCATTGTTATCAACGCTCCATAGATAAGAATTGTTCTATTTCACAAGAGGCCATGTTGCAGATTACAACTAGCTCATGAACACAAAAGTCAAGGCTGAATTACATTTATATAGCTATAGTAAATCTTACATCTACTTTAAAATTGAGGATGTGTGGGACAGCTTCTGCAAACATCTGGTACCTTCTAAGATTTTATAGACTATGAGAACCAGAGAGAGATTTCTAAAAGATGTTGCCAATGAGGAGAGGCAAAGGTTGATGAGACAAAGGCAGGGATTCTGTATTATTTCATACTACTTTTTATCCCTAAGTGTTAGAGAATGCTTCTAACATCAAGTATAAAAGTGAGACCTGAGTGTTTTTGTCCCAATTATGCAACCTAATATTTAGGCTACCCCAGTTAGCAAAGACCCTAATAATTCAACTCACTATATTGGGTAAGCTAGGCATATACATTTTTTGCCCTTAGGGAATTTAACATAGTTAAAATAATTATAACAAACTATGACAAAGTGTTAGGATAACAGAAGCATGGGGTGCTAAGCCTTTACTCAGCTGGGGGACTTAACTTAGTCAGCGGGGAGTCAGAGAAGCCCTACTTTGTTAAGTGTAGAATAAAATAGCAAATAAGATTGTATTGAATTGGCATTGTCAAACATAATTGATGTTAAATAGCCACAGCATATATAATTGTTACACCAAAGCCCTCAGACAGTTTGTTTCCCGTATCACTCTCAATAGGTCTAGCATGATTTGTCAGTGGTTCTTAAATGCTCGTTTGTTTTATTTTTGACATTTTCTATGATCAAGTCTCACCTGCCCACTACTACTGTCTTGAACTGATGAGATTTGTGTTATTTTTCATCAGCAAAAAGTTGAGTTATCTTGATTTAGATGCCCTCCAAAGGGTGTTGTGGGGGAAGCCAGCAAAGCCGCTAGTATTTTTAAATTTAAGCCTTGGGCACTCATAGACCAGACACACCAGTGATATCAAACTTTCTGGGCTTCTTCTTTTCAAACTTGCCAATTATTAAGTTGCCAGGCAGCCCAAAGACTGAAAACTGTCATAAGAGTATCAAACATGAAACCCAAGGTGGGCACTGCATCTGTGGCAGGCCGAGAGACCCTGAAGTGGGCACTATTCACTGATTCTGTCACATATTCATTAGTCCAACACATGTTTACTAAGTGCCTACTGTGGACTTTGTTTTGGTTTAGGCATGGGAATGGAATAGAGAACAGATAAGGCCCCTGTTAGAGAACAGAATAGAGAACAGTACCCAGTATATGTTCTTTGAATCGAATAATGGACCCAACTGTACAGAGAAATGGAAGGGAATATTCTAAGAGGCTGTTCTATTTTACTTTGTAAGTCTTTTCTTTTAATGGAGGTATAACTAATTCAGTAATTTAAAAATCACATATCCCTGTTGTTAATGGACTCATGAGTGCAGGGATGGCAGAAACAAATCAGATAATGTACCTGATTCTTTCATTGTGACAGCTGCTATCAAGTTGTAAATTAGAGCCAGCCACAAGGAAGCTGTGTTAGGTCAGTCCAATGACTAATGTCATGTAATAAATGGCTACTTGGTGCACAAATGACTTTCTTGGAACCTACAAGAGTTGTCAATTCTCATGGTAATTTGTGCATTCGTAATTTTGTGTTTGGGAAAATGTTGCTAGATAAGCCTTATTTGATATTAGAAAATAAACATTTATTGTTTCTACTGAGGAAACTCAGATTTTCTTTTGTAAAATGTACAGGACTGTGTTATGTTGCATTTTAGGAGATAAAATAGGCAGAAGGAACGATTTCAAGCATTTGCGTAAGATACTGTTCTTTCAAAGACCTTCTCAGGCATAAAAGTCCATAATATAATTCTGACAAGAAACTCTTTTAGTTACAAATAATTCCATAGTAAATATGATATGACACTGGCTGATATTCCTGAAATACCATGTTACAAAAACCTCTAGAATCTAAACATAGAAAATGATTTCCTTTAAACCAAAGAAAAAGAAAAACCCAAGAGCTGTATATAGCAGCAAACTTTCAAGGCTTCTTCATCTCTACTTTATGTAATACAAGAGCCTATTTAATAATACAGTCTAGAAACGCAACCCTGAAATTGAGGAACAAAAGCCAAAGCAATTATTTTAAAATCTGTTCTGTTAGCTAGAGGACTCGCATTTGCCCTTGAGCATTCGTGAAAGCACCAGGAAAGACTTTTTTAAAAAAACAAAGAACACTGTTTTCTGTCAGGTGAAATCTAACACCATCCAACCCTCTGTCTTTCTTTTACAGTCATTGACTCAATATTTCTCATTTCTTGTGGGCATTTATCATATGTTGTGTTCTCATGTAATGCTGGCAGGATGCATAAGCCGTACTAACTACTTGCTGAGAGAAAGAAAGAAAGAAGGAAGGAAGGAAGGAAGGAAGGAAGGAAGGAAGGAAGGAAGGAAGGAAAGAAAGAAAGAAAAGAGTTGGCTGGCACCCAACAGCCTGTCGCTGGCTACATTTGCTATCAATTACCTAAGTTTAGAAAACGGTTTACTCTGAACTCTGCATATGTGAAAGTGTTTTTATGTGATACAATAGGGTTAATGCCTTAAGGTTGGTGGCATAATGTGTGGGTATTCAGCAGATATAGAGACAGGCATTTCTTAACCTCTGAACACTTACTAATGTTGATCTTGAGGCAACAACTCAAGGGATTCACAGAAGCACAATTTCTATTTTGAATCAAGCAATTTTCCCATGGATCAAAGGAGGCAACATACATCAGACCTAAAATTGCTGGATACAATAGGCAAGTCGTCATTCTAGGGGATGTGTGTGTGGGTGTGTGTATTTCCTTTACGCCCAATTCCAACTTTTGTTCATCCATTTATTTCTAGTTCCTGTACACTCAACTTCTATGCAATTAATAATAGTAATTGTTCCATTTCTTATTTACTGATTACTGTAAATGATACTGTGTAATCGAGATTTTCAAGATGAGATTTATGGTACAAAATAATATTGGCACAAAGCAATGGTCTGAAATGAGGCATACCTATTGTGCAACTAAAATTCATTAGGAAGCAAAATATTTCATGTATAATAGGAAGTTTACTAAATATAGATATAAATATATATTAAAATATATATAATATGATAGGAAGTTTACTAAAGTACGACTTATGCCTTATCAAGCTTTTTAATTTCTATGAGAAACAACAACAGAAGAATTTAGTTGACCAAGAGAAAGCAGAGCACATTAAAACTATTCAAGGTAGTTAGAGAATTTGCCTTTGAATTTGGAATTTTGCGTTTTGATTTTAGTTTACTCTTCAATGTATTTTCTATAGGTAGTTTAATTTATTTATATATAAAACGTACTTGTTTTTAGTAATTGACATTTGACTTTAATAACATGTTACAATTTTCACTGTCATGTTTTCAAGTTCAAGCTATGACACAGGTGCCTGACTTTTGTCATGCCAAAAGAAAATATTTGATGATTCTTTACAGTGGAATTAAATCTATTCCAGAAGGCCAGAAACCCAGGCAAAAATCTTAACACTCTGCACATTAGCCCAATGACATTCTTAGCTATTCAAATTTTAGGAGATAAAAGGAACATGTGATAGAAGAAATTATTGTGATGTAGAACTAGAAAGTAAGGAACATAGAGCTAAGTAACTGGATCGTTAAAGAAAACATCAAACCACATAGCTATTCACAAATAGCAAAGTTGTAACAAGTCCCACGGCCACCATAACCAGAGTCCTTCACGTGGTGACCAATATAATAGAATAAAGGAAGGCGGTTTACCTCCTGAGGCATTTCGATTACTTTAAAAGTCTCAAGATTAGCAGCTAAAGTGAAAAGCCTTATTTTAACCCAAATAATGAATTAACACATCTTTGTGCAATGTGGCAACATTTTATTAAAATATTTTAATCATGAAAGTGTTAAATGATGGCACTTAGACTTCTTTTCTGACATAGTATTTACTTTGAATATGTGTGTGTGTGGATATATATATATTTCGATTGCTCTGAAACCTCCTTTAATTCATAGTTATCTCAAAAGTAGAACTGCTAATCATGTCTTTATATTTGAGTCATTTTTGAAATGAGTTTTCTTTTTCCTCAGGGTTGTTTCTTTAACAATTATAAAAGAGACTGCTGTAATCTCTTCATCTGGCTGTCTTTGTGACTTGTTTATTGTGAACAACTCTCTAAGGAACCAGGGGTGGAAACCAGGTTAGAAGAGACGGTCTCAGTGACTTATTTTAGTGGTTAAATAGATCTTTTCCTTTTGTTACTCTAAAGAGGGAGTGGGTATAAGTATTAATGGAAGTAATTTAAGCTTTTGGGAAGCTTCATGGTGTATGAAAACTTATGGTTGTAACTCTTTAAAAATATCGTGTCCATAGATACTTGGTCAGATATCCAGGAGAGAATTTAAATTAAAATAGAGCATGAAATATGCCTTGTCCTTCAAATAACAGCTCATATATAAATCCCACATGAAAAAGATATGTCCTCGATTTTTTTCTTTGCATAGATTTAAATAATTTGCTACGCTAAGAATTTCCTTTATTATAACCTCTGAAGAAGTGAAAATTAGAAAGAGAAATGAAAAGTAAGTAGTTGAATATATGGCATTACCCCAAGCAGGGATATATCTGTATGCATCACATTTTTATTCTTTAAGAGGCAGGAATCTTCTAGAAACATAACAGCGATAATTAGATGCCAAATAAGGCTGTCAATATTCACCACTAAAATCTCAAGGCTCGGGAAATTAGCTGATTTGAAAAAGGGCCTAATAATTCTACTGGGTGAAATGAGTAAATCAGCAGATGTGAGAAAGTTTTAGAAGTAACAATGGCTACCCATTTGGTCGCAAGAGCTGGTAGAGTTTTCAGACTGAATGAATCCCGGCAGTGACCCTCTCCTACCTCAGCGCTACATTTATCTTTCGGATTGTTTCACACCAGCTTGAAGAGATTAGTTATCTCATAGGAAGCAAAATCTCTCTTTTCTACCTGAGTTCATTGACTTCAGGAGGAGGGTATTCTCAAAATCCACCACAATCGTTCAACTAAACAGCTCTTTGTAGCCCTTGGTATTATCACTGGCACATGTGTATCCTGGTTCTTTAAATTCAGTGCCTCTAGTTATTGTTAGATCAGTTTCGTCTTTAAAATAGTTGAGTGTTCCAAACTCTTCTGAGTTGAACATACATAGAAATGTATTCCATAGTCCAAAGCCTACTGTTATGACTCAACCAGACGAGAGAACTAAAATCATCAATAGTCCTAAGAGGACTTCAGGAATAATTTTGCAATTATTACAGAGCACTTGGAGGATGAGGATCAGGCATAGGAGCTTACTTATAAAAGGCTTCTGCACTAAATGAAACACATATGTCCATTCATTAGCCAGCCTTGCAGTATTTTTCAATTAAATCCCTGTGGCTGAATTTAAAATGTTCGGCAAGTTCTTGGTGACCCAGTTTAACATGTGCCTAATACCACACTTTATTAATTAAAGATCCAGATATGCGCTTCCCGAGTTTGTCCCGGAGAAAATGTTTAAATGTGTCTTGCTACTCACTTGCAACCATAATATCTAAATTATAAAATTAAGCAAGAGTTATAAGAAATTCTATTCTTCTATTTCTATGGTTCTAGATCTCATTAGGAAAACATTATATAAATAAAAAAATACCTAATAGTATTTATTGAGCACTTACTTTATACCAGACAATATTGTGATTACTTTAAACTTTTAACCCTAAAACAACCTTATTAAGTAGTTAATATTATGATCTCCATTTTGCAGATGGGAAAACTGAAACCAGAGAATTTCAGTGACCTGTTCAAGGTCATACAACTTGTAAGTTGCAGTTCCAGGTTTTGGCTTCAGTACCAGGGTTATTAACCACGGTACCAATTAACTCCTGCTGAGCATTTAGGAAGTAACTGTTAATCTGTGACTACAAGGATTGATAAGCTATATTGGAAGAAATTGAGAATCTGATATTGCCAGCACTGTCTAATAGAATTTTCTGTGATGATGGAAATGTTCTATGTCTGTGCTACCAGCATAGCAGCCACTAGCCACATGTGGTGGTTGAATGCTTGACATATGTCTAGTAAGACTGAGCAACTCAATTTTTCATTTTATTTAATTTTAATTAATGTAATTAATTAATGTAATTAATGTAGTTGCATGTGGCTGTTGAACACTTACAATGTGGCTAGTGTGCCTTAGAAACTAAATTTTTTATTTACTTATTTTTTCCAGTTTTATTGAGGTAGAAATAAATGACAAATAAAATTTGTATATATTTAAGGTGTACAATGTGATGAGTTGATATACATATACATTGTGAAGTAATTACCACAATCAAGCTATTTTAATTAAATTTCAATCACCATATGTAGCTACTGGCTACTGTATTGGACAGGCAGGCTTAGACCATTAAAACATCTATAATTTGCTTGACATGGCTCAACCTCTGAATATGTTTCATTTTCCTAAAAAAAATTTCACTGGATGGTTTCTTTTTGCTTAGACCTAGACTAGGCACATACATGGTAAACACACCAAAAATAAAAACCACATAACCTGGACCTGAGATCTGAGAAATTATCATTTTCCAAAGAGATGAGATGTGTGCTTTCAAAGTGGGCTTTGGTTAAATGTAGAAGACATAGGTAAGAGCACCAGTCCTTGAGTCACTGCATGAGTTTGAATCCTGACTCCACCACTTATAACCTGTGTGACTTAGGGAACATAATTTAACCTGCATAAATCTCAGTTTTCTCATCCAGCAACTGGAGATAATAGTACGTACCTCTTAGCATTGTGAGGATTAAACTAGATAATTTATGTAAATCACCAAGGGTTAAGGCACATTCACAGAGCACTGAGGGCAGAAGAAATGTGGGCTCCTGTGCAGGTGAATAACCTGTGAAGGTATGAACAGAAAGTAGAAAGGAGGAAGCAAGAGAGTAAGCAAGCAGGTAGGAAAACATCAAGACACCAGAAACATGTAAGCCAAACGCATAATAAGGGCAACCTGGAAACCAGTGGAGAATTATCAACTAATTGTTAATCAGTCAGAACTGAAGTGACAAGAGTAGAAATGCACTTCATCAAGCAAGCTTCTTCTTATCCCTGTTTCTGGATTTGCCTTAGTTCCTGAGATGCAAGACCCATCCCAGCAGAGATGGCCTTACCCCTGCTCAAATGAATAAGTGCTTGGTGACACCAGGGGGGGAAAAACAGTGGTAGGAAGGTAGGAATAAGTATGATGTGCTTTGGAGCTTGTGAGAAAACCAGCGCAGCTGAAATAGACTTACTTGCTGTTGTGTACATGGAGGTAAGGTTGGGCAGAATTGGACAGTGGAAGCTTTAAAAGTCAGGCCAAATACTTGACCTTCTTTTGCCTTGTAGGCAATGACAAGGCACAGGGTTTTTTTATCCAGGGAATGTCAGGATCTAAATAGTAATCTGGCAGCTAAGTAAAAGATGGATTCAGATGGATGAGACTTGTGGTAGTAAGACTAGATAGGTCATCTAAGCATGGCACAAAAGGAGAAAGGGAGGCAGCAATAATGGTAGAGTTGGACATAAAAATTTATAGGACTCCGGGTCTAAATAGAGGTGACTGAAAGAAGAGGGCAAAGCAAAAAATACATCAGATATGACTGAGATAAGTGCCTGAGAGAAAGACAGTGCTGTTAGCAAACAGGAAGCTAGTTCGGGGAATGGCAAATATGGATTTCTTCTATCTCTTTAGGTCTTGTTGGATTTGAGAAACAGTGGGACCAAAAGTGGAAACATCCAATTGAATACTGAAAATAGTAGTGTTCTATGTTCCTGGGACAAAAGCTGGGATGTCACAAACCATTGGAGGGTTTTCACAGCCCAGATGTGGCCAACGTAATCAACTCTGACAGATTGTACCTGGAATTCCCCATCTTGGGCTCCATACAGATGGCCTGCATTTTTCTTCCCTGTGAAATCATACTGCCTTTACCCCTAAATATTAAACATTCAACAGCCTGCTAATCACTGTGTACTCTCAGAATGAGCCTTTGTCTATATGCTCCAACCTCTTTAATTAAATGCAGCTAGAATGTTAACAGTGCAAATATGAGAATGCTTAACATAATGATTTAACGGCCATGCCTCAATCGCTCTCCAAAATATGTTTTTAGACTCAGAAACCCTTTAATAATTATATTTATCATACATATTGACATTTCATAATTGCAGTCAGTTCAAGAGGAAATTGATTTTCTATTGGTTATGACTTTTTGCAATTCTCATTGCACGAAATCTAGAATTACGTTCTTCTGGCCATTACCAAGTTCTAGATTTTAAGCTGAAGCATGAAAGTTGTTAATTTTACAAAAACCTTCCCCAAAAGGCATTCATTTCCTTCACTGGCAAGAATATCACAAAGCAGCCCCTTGCTTCATTGCATGTCCTGTGGCATGATTGTCACCAACGAAAACACAATATGTAAGGACCAAGGTAATTATTCATTGGTTTCTGGACATTAAGTCCCCCAAGGAACAACACAAATATACATGATGCAGCTTCTGCAATGAAACATTCGAGATACCAGTGACGTTTTTTGAATCCCAAATTGCCAAGTTACTGATTTAAGAATGCCCTAGAGTATAAATAATTTCCCCAAGCCTCCCTAGTGACTTGTGTCGAATGCCTTCTGCTTAGCCCATTAAAGGTGAAAGCCATGAAATATTATTTGATTTGTAACACAAGAAAATGCCCTAAAACCACCTATCCCTCTTTGGAAAGCTGCCAGAACAAAGTGAGAGGAAAGGTCAAGCCTGAGAACGATGATTTCAGGTTGCAGCATGTGGCCAGATGAAAGGCTGAGCCTATAGGCTGCATTCAGTCTTCCAGTTTCTTCATAGAGGATTTATATTTATTTTTCCTAACTCACATAGGAGTCTTGGGTTTTGAGATCAAAATTTCAAATACTTTAATAGTGGCCATGCAATATTAAAAAAATTTAACAATGAATTGTGTTGAATGGTTACTACGTGTCCTTACTACATTTCCTTTGAATTCGATTTGGAGAAGCTAGTTTCAGGATTCATTTGATTTACATGTGGAATTGATAGATATTAAAATCCATTTCTTCTAAGTGCCTCACAATTGAAAAACATTATTTTAATTCTGTTGTGCCATGCATTGATTCCTATCCATTTTGATCTGTGATCACTAGACATCAGATTGCTTGTGAATTGCCAGTGAAGGTATGAACATCACAAACCTGCTAAATCAACCTTTAAAATGTAAGAAAAGTTTAATTTAGAGTTACATCCGGACATTTATAAGATGCAGACATTGATAGCTTGGAAGCAAAATGATAAAGTATATGCCTCATTCTGCAAATCAGTTACAAGATGGAAGTCAAATTATTCCATCTGAAACCTCTTAATTCAGCAGAGGAATAGCCACTTGAGAGCTATGATGGCAGTTTATGGAAGTGTCTGTGATCCTTCTTGATAAATCTGTATCCATTTACACAGAGAAGTCATAGTAATCTGTACTAATTGAGAGAGCAAGGATACAAACATCAAATTATTGCCTTCTAGAAGGCATTAGGGGACTTATTTTTAAATTTAAGCTTGACTTTTTATTGGCTACCTATTATCTGCCAGGTAATACCACGTGTGATCTTTTTATGCTTCCAGAAATAAGAATGAGCTTTAATTAGTATGTCATTTTTGCTTAAAGCATTTCTCTGTTTAATTTAGAAATCTTAACATTCTCCTGAACATACACAATCTTTTCTGGACGATCACTTAAAATGAAACTTTTAGCCAAGCCTTTATCTGAATGAATAAAATTTCAAATTAGAAGATTCTTACTTACCAGGGGTTTAGTATATATGCATTAAACTTGACATATAAGCTTTATATCCCAGGGACTTTGGTAAAGAAGTAGCTTTACCAATTGTTATTCTTTATTCTCGATCTTCCTAAAGTCAAATTATTTTTTAGCATTTGTTTCAAAATGATTTTCAACTTACAAAAAAGTTGCAAAAGTAGTACAAAATTTACATATACCTATCACTCACCTTATTCTAATGTTAACAACATACATACGTAACCATATGATATGGTTTGGATTTGTGTCCCCACCCAAATCTCATGTTCAATTATAATCCCCAGTGTTGAAGGTGGGGCCTGGTTGGAGATGATTGGATCATGTTGACAGTTTCTCATGAATGGTTTAACACCATCACCGTTGCTACTGTCGTCATGATAGTGAGTGAATGAGTGAGTGAGTTATCCTGAGATTTGGTTGTTTAAAAGTATGTGGCACCTCCCCCTTCCCTCTCTTCCTCCTACTCTAGCCATGTAAAATATGCCTGCTTTCCCTTTGCCTTCCACCATGATTGTAAGTTTCCTGAGGCCTCCCCAGAAGCAGAAGCCACCATACTTCCTGTACACCCTGCAGAACTGTGAGCCGATTAAACCTCATTTCTTTATGAATTATGGTATTTCTTTATAGCAATGTAAGAACTTCCTAATACACCATACTACAACAATAAGACCAAGAAATTGATATAATACTATTAACTAAATTACATACCTCATTTTAATATCACTAGTTTATCCCCTATCTTTTTCATGTGTCAGAATCCAATCCAGGATTCCATGTGCCTGTAGATGTCATGTCTCCTTAGTCTTCTCCAATCTGTGACACTTTCTCCACTTTCCTTATCTCTTATGACCTTGACACTATTGATAAACACTGATCAGTTACTTTTGTAGAATATTTCTCGATTTGGGTTCTTCTGATATTTTCTAGTGTCTGCTGGTATTTTTCACTGTAGAGTTACTGTATTTTATCCCATTATTGGTGATATGTTTTTTAGGGAAAGTATTTGAAGTCTATGCTAATATCCTGTTTCTCCTCAACCTTTCACCTCTGATATTAGCATCCATCAAAGGATTTTGCCTGTAGCAGCTATTACTGTAGTATTTGCATACTGGTGATTTTATATTTCCTTTTTTCCCTCTTTATATATTAATTGGAATTCTTCCCCCGAAAAAGTGGATCTTTTTTCTCTCCCAACTTCTTATCTGTTTAGTTATGTATTTATATCGGTATGAGCTCATGGTCATTCGTTATATTCTATGGGTATAATCCAATAATGTCATTATTTATTTTGTTGCTCAAATTGTTCCAGGTTTGTACATTGGGAGCTCCTTACTTTTGGGTCCTATATCCTTCTGACATGGTCCCCATCATTTTTGAAGCAATTTCTCATTTTTACCATTACAAGATATACCAGGATCATTTTGTATTTTTCCTGCATCAGTCCTAAAACCTACCTGTTCTCCGGGGAGCACTAGTTCCTTTATTGGAGAATGGTATTAGAAACCAAGGTCTGGGCACTAGACGTGCTCGATGCTACTGGAGGGTCATTGCTATGAAGCCCTGTCTCCAAAATACACTAGGAAATATGTGTATGTATACTACTTCATACATACTGACAATTTATATTTATTATTTATTTATCAAATTTATGACTAACATTGATTTTGAAGATTTTCAACTT
The DNA here is from genome assembly GCF_000001405.40 of Homo sapiens. Lineage (NCBI taxonomy): Eukaryota > Metazoa > Chordata > Mammalia > Primates > Hominidae > Homo > Homo sapiens. The sequence continues at coordinate 94,043,399 of NC_000013.11, forward strand.
ACAAAAAAGTTTCAAAAATAGTACCAAATTTACACATACCTATCATTCACCTGATCCTAATGTTAACAACATACATACATAATCATACTACAATAATAAAACCAGGAAATTAACATTGCTATAATACTATTAACTAAACTATATACTTCATTTTGTGTGTATATTTTGTGTGTATATGTATATGTATATATCTGTCTGTGAGTTCATACTGATGCCAGCTGAACACCACAAAGTTCATTCTAGCCTTCTCTTTCCTTATTTGCAACATCTTTCTCCAACAATGAGAAATCCGGTTTTCTTTATCTGCAATATATTAACATATTTGTTAAAGACAGAATGTATATAAGTTGGAGTTGCTAACCCATACTCCTTTAAGAAATATATTGACCAGCGAGAGCACAGTATTTCTGTAGAGTTTATTTTGCCTTTAGGTTTGTGGTATCCAGTCAAAATAGCTTTTCAAATTACTTAGGTTAGTTATGTTCTTAGTTACTTAGGTTAGTCATCTTCTTGAATGTTGTTATATTCATTGGTAATAGAATTAGGTTTCCTTGGTACTGTTAGGATTCCGTTTTAAGTTCTCCTACATCTTGGTTTATTTTAATTATTTCTTTATTTTGGAGTAGGATATGAAGCATTACTGTAGTTCTAAGTCTCAAAACTATACAAAAGTTATGTGTTTAGCTATGTCCCCCCACCTTTATCCATACTAACTTAGGGCCATAATCCCCTTCTTTCTATCCTTTTGCCACCCACTCTTTGCAGGTTGATCAATCTCTTTAGTTTGTGGTTTATCTTTCCTGTACTTCTTTTGCACGTATAAGTAGATATGTGTGTATTTGATTATATTTCCTTTTTTCTTACAAGAAGGGTAGCATACTGTAGATATTCTTTTATACTTTTCTGTTTTCACTTAAATTTATGCCTAGTGTTCCACTATTGGAATGCTAATCAAGTGGGAGTTATTTCTATCCTACAGCTCAAGGTCATCGCCAAGGTCTGCTTGCAAAAGTTCAAAAAAATTGCAGCCTCAGGCATAAATGGGTTAATTGTAGAAGTTATTCCAGATCAGTTCATAAAGATCTTCCACATTACTAATAGCTGTGTAGTACTTCATTGTTGAATGCACCATGGTTAATTAGTATTGTTTCCAATATTTTGCTATAACAAATATGCTATAATGATTGACTTAATGAATGTGTATTTTTGTGTTGTTAAGGATGTATCTTCAGAACAGATTCCTAGAATTGGGATTTTAGAGTCAAAAGATAAGTACATATGTGGTTTTGTTAAGTGTTATCAAATTTTCCTCTGGAAGGCTTGTATCAATCTGCATTCCCACCAGCTACTTATAAGAATCCCTATTTCCCCAGAATCTCATAAGACAAGGTGATGTCAGATTTTTAGATTTTTTCAGATAAGAAATGGTATCAAGATCTTTTTAGTTTAATTTTTCCACCTATTCATTTTGATATTATTTAACTGAACAAATTAACACCTTTTTTTAACGTGCCGTATCATATAAAGGATTTTTTTAAAACTAGGATATTCTTGCTAATATAACTAAGAAAACTTCATAATGGGCTAAATATAAGAGTGAGATATATATTTGTGAATAGCCTATGTTACCACAGCAGATAAGTATAGGTACGTTTATTTTTAAATAATATTTTTTAATATTAGGGAAACATTTTCATTGTTTCCTAAAGTTTCATGATGTATCTGGACTCCATTACAAATGTCTTCCTGTCATAGAATTCTGAGAAATAAGTAGGAGCATATGAAGAGGTCTGTAATAACAGCAATTATGGAAAAGTAATTTACTGATTGTATAAATGGAACAGATTTCAAATCGAGTAGATAGACCATAAAAAGCAAGTAGGATATTGAAAATAAATATTTTGGGAGCTAGGAAATTGCTCATTAAATTCACATACCAAATGTCAATATTTTGCTAACGTTTATATAATTTAGTTTCTTAGTATCTAAAACCATACTTTTTTTTATTTAAAAAAATTCAAATAGTTGCTAAGATGATCAAGTGTTTGCAGACATTCTTCCTCTTGTCCACCTGGCAGTATGAAACACTGACATAGAAAAACCTTTGTTTTGTGATCAGTGAATTAAAATACAGCAAGACAAAGTGACTTGCAGAATTATTTCTACATTGAGAAAAAGGTAGAACCCATTAGGGAATGAACCTTGGTGAAAATATTTAAAACAGGTAAGGAACTGGCTATAAGGAAAGGACACAGACTTTGGTTTTAGGCAAAAATAAGATGTGGCTGTAACTCAGCCACTTGTTAGCAATATAGAAACCAGAGGCTTCCAGCATTCATGGATTTTCAAAAAAAAAAAAAAAATGCCCTACCATGACACACACTCTCTACCATTGCCATACCCACATCTACTCAAGCAAAACCTTCTGTTAGCCCTGTACGTTTCAGAAGAGAATGTCCATAATATTAGTTAATGATATTCTTAACAATAAATTCTTTTCATGCATTATTCTATTGAACCACCAAAACAGTCCTAAAGGAAAGGTGTGATTATTGTCCCCATTTTACAGAAGAGGAAACTGAGTCTCAGAGAGTTCGAGTAAGTGGCAGAGCCAAGAAACAATGCTAGATTTGGCTCACACAAAGTCCATGCTTTAACCCAGAGACTATACTCCCCAGCAGCTCTACCCTCCACTCAGCGGACTGCCAACAAAAAAATAGGTTTACTGTGAAACAGAGACTGGAGTAACTGATCTCCATGTCCCACCCACAGCAATAACCATGAACTTGCTTTTTACTGGTTCTTGATTTTTTTAGAATTACATGTATAAAATGTTGCACACAGGCCACTCATTCTTTCAACTTGGTTCTAAAATGTTTCCCTAAGTGATAGTGCTGAAGCCTGGGCCACATTGCTTTGAACGTTTGTAGAATTGCTTTTGCAGAATATACTCTGAAGTGTTACCAGCAGTCAACACTCTGAGGTCTTACAAGAAGACCTCACTATTGAACTTGAGCTCACTATTGAACTTATTGTGTGGACATGCCTCAGAGAGGAGAAAGAACTTCACTGTACCACCCAGGATTCCCTTTAAAGGGCTCAGAACAGAGCCGGGAAAATCTAGTTCCCAAGCAACTAATCTGACTAAATGTAATGGAAAATGTAATTTTCATAAAGTCACTTTCCCCTCATTGACCAATATGACTGTCAGAGTGGCTCACTTTTATTTCTTATAACATGAAATTATTATTATACCTTATCCCTGGAGTCATCTCATTTTCCACTTTTCTGCATTTCTCTTATATTTATGTTGTTTTCCTGCGTTTGTGTGTCTATATGTCATTTAAGTTCAGTTTTCAATGAGGTTACATTTAAATAAACCTCCTCCACATGCCCTTGGGCAAGTTGCTTAAGATTTCTGAATCTTGTCTCATTAGTTAAAAGGTACCTGCCTTTCTTAGTTGTTAGGACTAGAAGTAGTGTGTGTAAAATGTACAATATAAGCTTGCAATGAATACTAACTATAGTTCGCCACTACTGCGAAGTTGGAGGATTATACTCCTTAAAAATAAGTTTAAAGGTAAGGAAAGAACTTTAAATCTATAGTGTTTTTTAGGAATTCTGAGTTATATTATCATTACTCTATTTGAATAGAACGAATCATTGCAAAAGTCTAATCAGGAAGCCAAGTACTAGTTTCTCTACTTCAGTGTACCAAACAGGTCCCCTTTAGTATGTCACTGAATATTTTTAAATGTATTGGTATTCTTGGATAATGTTAAAGGATAGTAAAATCAGGAAAACAGCACTAATAATTTCTAAAACCCACAAATTTCCAAATGACAACCAATTAAATATTACTAAGACATTTGAATATGCTGCTCTTTCCAATGCTCTGAGACGGGATGAGTGGGAGAAAGGGGGATCTCAGCCTTTACTCAATGCCGGTTTGCTGAATACACTGAGTAGAGAATAAATTCATGATCTCAAAATCATCAGTGACACCCTTTTTCTTTCAGCATCCATCTGTTTTCATTCCCAGAAAGGGTCAAGAAATCAGTTAAAGTTGCATTCCCTGATCTTTCTCCTACAAAAAACAAGAAGTATGGAAGAAAAAAAAAGATCAAGGATCTTAATGATCCAGTTAAAGCAAATAATGTACAGTGGTTTCTGGAATCATGCATGTTGAAATATCTCCACTCGGATTTGCAAATTACTCTGGGCACATGCCAAAGTAGAAACTACAAATATTCATTGTAATAAAGAAAAACGGTTTTCAAGGTGAAAATGGTCTTTGCCAAACAGATTTAACCAGTCTAACTTAAAAGCCTCTTTAAATTACCAAAACCAGAGCAGTAAAATATCAACACTACACATTTATATAACGTTTTGTTTAGTGACATTTCTTCATTGAATTCTCAACTGCTGTGGAAACTAACCAAGCCTGTGAATTTAAGTGTTTGGCCAAATCTCACAGCATCTGACTCCAGATTCGCAGTTGATAGATAATCCTCAAATCTAGTTAATGCATTTCTGAAATAGACATTTATTTCACAGATTTATTTCACACACAAAGGGAAGCAACACTTGAGAAATATTTAACATTTTTTTTCTCTGGGAAAAGTTGGCAATTAAAAAAAAAATAACTCATGGTAAAAATTCCAGGAAGAAATAGCAAAGTTAATTTTGGTTAGAGTCATCTACAGGAAGAAAAGAAAGATACAAGAGCTCTGAGGAAAACATATAGACTATGAATGAGTGGGAAAATGAGATGATGCCTAGCCTTTTCAAACCTTCAGGCATAAGAATACATGAAGGACCCATGACAAGGAAAACAGATAGTATTGAGTGCAGGAATGAAGGGTTATAAATATATTTTTGCCGTCTTGGGAACAGCCATAAGGATAAAATGATAATGTCAAAAATAGCAGTTGATTAAGAAATGGCATTGATTTTCCCATACTACTAGAGGCACAGAAATAAGAAACCAGGATAAATGAAGTTAGTGTTGGATGACATAGTAAAAGCCTGACTTGCAAGTAAAAAAAATTAAAAAAAGAGAGAGAAATAGTTGAGGATGAGCAGTGGGCGCCATTTGCTTCCTTGCTGTGAAATATTCACCCATCAGCTTCAACGATAATTCATTAATTTATTGAAGCTTCATTAGCCATTTCCTTTACACCTAGCACTGGATTAGCCGCTGTGGGGTTCAGAAAAAAAAAACGAAGAGACAGAAATCCTACATTCGGGGACCTCAGAACTTAGTAGGGGACAAGAAAAACATTGTCATTTTGGTCTGGTCGCAGGAGGCAATGTCTAGGTGTGCAGCAGATTGCAGGGGAGGGCAGATGGTAGTAGGGAGATTTGATTCCCTTCTGACTTAATTCTCACTGCTTTTTTGTATCACCTTCCCACTGTGGACCCCATGGCCCTAACATTGCCCTGGAACGGTACAGCTTCTTGTTCAGTGTTTATCTGAACCTACTTCTGGATGGCATTTCCTCCTGTGTCTTCATGTTCTCTGCTCCCCTTCGGCCATTGTATCTATGAAGAAGGCATTGTCACCATGTGCCATGGCTCACCCCTGTAATCCCAGCACTTTGGGAGGCTGAGGCAGGAGGATCACTTGAACCCAGGAATTTGAGAATTTGAGACCAGCCTGGTCAACATAGCAAGACCCTATCTCTATGAAAACAATTTAAAAATCAGCTAAGCGTGACAGCCTGCATCTGTAATCTCAGCTACTTGGAGGCTGAAGTGGGAGGATCCTTAGACTCAGGGAGCTGAGGCTGCAGTAAGACGACTGCATCACTGCACTGCAGCCTAGGTGACAGAGGGAGATCTTATCTCAAAAAAAAAAAAAAAGAGGCATTGTCCCTGTGGTCACTATCTCCTCCCTCCTCCCCAACCCCCCACTGATCCTAGCAGTGTTCTCCACATCAGGGACTGACTGATTCATAGTTATGAGCAATGATTTACTGATTGAAGAGTGGCATCTATGGATTGAGGACATTGAAGATACACTGTGGTAATAACAAATAATTTGCCTCAGATACCTGGGACCTGGTTGAGCAAATAAGACTGTGAAATCAGAAGACATGAGATCTGCTTTCTAAGACCTCCTCACTGTTCCTCAAACCCTCCAGGCATCATCACACCTCAGGGCCCTCACACTTGCTGTTCCCTGCTCCTGCACTGCTCTTGCCGCAGAAATATATGTGGCACCTCCAGTCATTCCATTGAGACTTTCACTCAAAATGCACCTTCTTAGTGACTCTTTCCCCTGTTACTTGATATAAAATTTTCATCATCCTCCCCACCACCATTTATTAAGGAGCTCCTCTCTTTAATTTATCACAGTGTACTTTACCTATCTGTTTGTTTGGGTATTGATGTGGTTTGGCTGGGTCACCACCCAAAATTCATCTTCAACTATAGTTCCCATAATCCCCACATGTTGTGGGAGGGACCAGGTAGAGATAATTGAATCACGGGTACAGTTCCCCCATACTGTTCTTATGGTAGTGAATAAGTCTCATGAGATCTGATGGTTTTATAAGGAGTTTCCCTGTTCGATTGGTTCTCTCTCATTCTCTCTTGTCTGCTGCCATGTAAGATGTGCCTTTCACCTTCACCATGATTGTGAGGGCTCCCCAGCCACGTAGAACTGTGAGTCCATTAAACCTCTTTTTCTTTATAAATAACCCAGTCTCGGGTAGGTCTTTATCAGCATCATGAAAACAAATACAGGTATTTTTTCTCCATCTCTTGAACTAGGGGTTTGGTCTGTTTTGTTTTGCCATATTCTCAGCAGCAATTCCTGGAACGTAATAGATGCTGTGTAAATATTTGTTGAATAAATTACTGAATAACAGAGTGCTGTTAACTTCTGCTTTCTTCTCTGTATTGTGGATTTAATAACACTTCCTCTGCCTATCTCACCAATTTTTGTGAAAATCCAATGAAATTGTGAGAGCGTGGGTGTGTTTTGAAAACTCTATCGTGCTTCCCATGATACTAATAGTAGCAGTACTGTCCTTGTTATACATTACTCAACATCATTATAATCTTCCAATGTCCTTCCAATTGACATCCTAGAAGGCTTCCAATTGTTCCACTGTGCTGTTGTAGAATATACCACCATCATGAGACTGTCACCAGCAAAAGCTAGCCTGCTAAGCAGGCACAGAGAATGTGCACCAATAGACGTTATTGCTAGACTCAGACTTCTGGGTGACCTCCTGGCACCAGCGCTAAGGTGCCAGGATGGCCTTCAGAGAGCAACATGATTTTTCTACTCTCCTTATCTCTTTAGGGAGATAGGACAGGAGAAGTAGCAGAAATTTGCCAATCCTCTTACTGAGAGGGGAAAACAGGCTTCCTGACAGCTCTTATTACGTTATTACAGTTCAGCCTGGTTTCTGGGTCCCTATGCCAGTGAAGCCACTCCTTCAGTGCCTACCAGTAAGAGGCAATTTGCAACTAGCACCATAAATGGCATTTGTAATCTAGCTAGTAGTGTCGTAAATGCATCCTATTGGTCATGAGCTGAACCAGGGCAATCAAATGTCCCTGCTAGATAATCCACTTTGGGAATGTGATTAGCATTGTCTTCATTGACAGATGGCAAAAGATACTGACTTCCATCACATATATAAGTTCTGACCCTAACAAGTGGTATATAAACCTAATTTCTCAAACTTTTTTCAAGGACTTAGAGCTCTGTAATGGAATATTACTAGATTGATTGCTGTGCCTTAATAATTAGAAAGTCTTCATAAGCTGCTTACCCTTGATAAATAGGATTGTTGAAACCTCCTTGCTTCTGGTGGGCTAATAAGGTTGAAGTGTCAAGTTTTCAAATGCATTATAATCTTAGCACAACAGGATTCTTCAAACCTATCCATCATCTGCCCTCAAAATCCACTACAGTCACATCTTACTTTAAACAGGCTATCTTGCACACTCAACTTTTTTTAAAGTTAAGGTGCTGCTTTAACAGCTTGGCAGGCTGTTTTGCATCACAAGCTTCCACATGCATCTAAGGCATATACTCTTGTTGCTTTTTGAATTTTCTCTCTGGCAATTACTCAGCTTGGTTTGTGTTTCCCAAGATGCAGAGCACTTTACGAGAGTATGTATTTGTTTCCAAATTCCGTATTGCTGGACGTGTTCAAAACGTATCCATTAAGTATAATAGCATATATAATGGAAAGTGTAAAGAGATATTCTTAACGAAAGAGTACATAATAATTGCACAAAATTAAAGGACTCTTCTTAAAGGATATAATTGTTTCTTTCATTAAAAAAAGGATAACAATCTTGCACAGATTCTGTGGCACTTTCAACATGGCTTCAAGGAGATTTTTGTCTTACTCTTTAGTTTCACTGCATAGAATTTGGGTTAGAAGTGATACAAACTGCAGAAACACCTTTCTAGTGAATTTTAGAAATTTTAAGAACATTTATATTTCTTATTAAAGATAGTAAAGCATCATTAAATATATGAAAGTGTTTTGATTCAACAATATTCAGTAAATATCTAGAGTGCCTGCTAGATATGCTACCACATAAGGATGTGGGAATACCACAGAGTTTCTCCATGTAAGGTAGTGGAAATAAAAACATAAAAAAGACATGGCCTCTGTTACACAGAGTTCCCAGTCTGGTGGGGAGAAAGACGCATAAACAGTTAAATAAAGCATCATGTTAATCAGGCTGTAGTCTGGCTACATATGTTGAAAATGCTATAGCAAAACAGATGAGTGTGATTAATGTTACCTAGATAAGGGCAAAGAAGTCTTTTTATAGGAGGTAGTATTTGAACTGGGTCTTAAAATATAAAAGGAAATTGATCAGGGATTTGGGTCAGGTCATGCATTATAAGCAGAGAGGACAGCAAGAGCAAAGAAATGGTGCAATGAAGGTACTTTGTCTAAAAAATGGTCTAACTAAACCATAGCATGTAGAGGTGGGTTGGCAGGGAAGGAAAAGGGGTGAAAATGCCTAACGGTATCATTATTGAAAGTTTGGTTGGGGCTAGGTTATGAACTGCCTCATATGCTATGCTGTGGAGTTGATATATTTATGCTATGGAGATTCAACTTCATGTTGTAGGACGAGGGAACCATTTATTGTATTTCAAACTGATGCATCTCCTTTAAAACTCCTCTAGAGATTTCAACTCTTCTATACTCCTCTCAATGTTATATCCCTCAGTTTATGCCTTACATCGTTTAACAATTAAGTCTGTACCGATTTGTACACGGTGTTTTTGTTTCATTTGTTTCATTTTTCCCCTTAGTGTCCTCTTCCAAACTTAATTTTAAGCTTCTTGGGGGCCTGCCTTAGCCAGGCAATTAATTATGTGTCCCTTAATCTCAATCAAACTAAGGTCAGGAGCCCCTTATTAAAGGTCCTCTGTTGAAGCTATGCCCCTTGGGACTCTGGCTCATTGAACTCTCAGGAAGTCCCTTAGGAAAGCTCCCCTTTCTGTACTGCCTTTGCCCACCCTCACCACCTTGGGGCCACTACTCTGGGACTCTATTCTCTCTCAAGTGGCCTCTTACAAATACAACCATCCTAGGCAGCTGTCACATCACCTCCCGTTTTCTCAAGCTCAGCTTCTACCAAATATGCATGTCAGAAAGGGTTTTAGAGGAGCTAAAATCAGTGACTTCATTTTTGAAGAGAATGACTGTCATGGGTAATTGACAGAATTACTGCATCTTAGCCATAGAAGCATTGGAAATTGTGCAGAAGCTAAATGGTTTTTGCCACTCAATATAGTTAAACTCTGGAATGACTTTCGGGGGATACGTGATGAAAGTAGCGTGTTTTTCTTTAACCCTGGCTACTGAACTGGAATTATGGAGGGTCACTGGCATTTTTTCAAAGCTCTGTAGGCAATTTGGATAAACAACCAGAGCTAAAACTCTGGATTAGAGAGTTAGACCGACTTTTGAAGTGTAACAGGGACTAGGGTTGTCACCTTCCACATGAAATCATGAGCTTTTGGGGGCTAAAAGCCCAAAGGTAGTAATTGTTAAAATTATATTTTAAAATTTTTACCTAATTCTTTTAGGTATTACCCAATAAATTCACAATAGAGTGTGAAGGAAGAAATAGAAGCTGCAGTGAACCATGGTAGTTCCTTAAATCTGACCCCCTGTCCGATTAACTGAGAACAATCACACTTGTCCCAACATAATTATAGCCACCTCCCTTTCACTTTCAAAAGTATTCCTGTTTGGGCAACAAATGATAAGCTCATCCCATCTATATATGTAACTCCAGGTCTGTAAACACCCATTTTCTGGGTAGTTGATACTTAGGGAAACAATTAGATATTTCTTTTCCACGATGATTAGAAGGAAAGAAAAACAAAATAGTTTCCTAAGAGTTAAATTAGTAAATCAGTACAGATAATATTCTTACTTCAGAGATATAGATACTTATATTCAGAAAAGCTACCTAGTTTAACCAGGTATTTTAGTACATTTATTTTTAAAAGATATTAGCTGAAATGGATGGTGGAGCTGAAAAAAAAGAGAGGGGCTTCAAAAAAGCAAATTTGGACAGGCATGTATTGGTGGAAAAGGTGCTGAATGAGAGGAATATGAACACTCTGCTAATAATTAAAAGGATTAAAAGTCCTAGAAGTCACCTTTCTTAGTTTCTTCTAATGCTTTGTTCACCAGATGGCATTCTGAGTCCGGATATAAGCTGTTCAGGTCCTATGATCAAAGAAGAGGGGACTCTAAACCGAGGAAGTAAATCTTGCTAGCTCTGGAAAAGAATACCCGCCCCGCCATTCCTAATTTAAAACTTGACTTTTTGGTTAGTGCATCAGCCCAGGTGGTTGTGGTTAGGGCCAGTGTCACGGAGGATGGCTGATTGTCACTCGCAAAGCCCAGCCTCTGTGCCAGCAGAGCTGAGATGTGAACCTGAACAGTGGTAAATTCATTTAGATCAGTGGAGTCGCCCGGAGGGCCTGTTAAACCACAAAGCGCTGTGCTCCGCTGCCAGGGTTTCTAATTCAGTAGGTCTGGGGTGGGGAATGTGTGTTTCTAACAAGTCCCCAAGTGCTGCTGATGCTGCTGATACTGGGCCACACTTTGGATAACCACTGATCCAAATAATCCCACCTTTTGACACCTCCTGGCGGCCAGCTGCTGGCCTCCTTAGAGCCTCAAGGTCAGCCTTTCCTTCTATTTGAAAACTCAACAATCATCTTACCTACCTTCAAGCCCACCTTTGAGAAAAGAGAGTTCAGAAGAGGTCGTCTAATCCACGTGGCTCACAAAGCCAATTATGCCATTATTTGTTTGCACTTTATAAGGATGCATTTACCAAGTGGGTTAGGAGACCTGTGGGAAATTCACTGAATTTCTTATATTAATCTGTCAGTGTAAATCATGGGGGAGTGATTTCGACTTTAAAGCAAGTACTTCTTGTATGCTCTGTATTAGAGAGCTTAGAGAGCTGTGGACTGATCTGAGTCTCAAACCCGAATTAATCTTATTCTCTGCACACCTGCACTCACACACACATCCACACCTAAAAAAATCCCCATTCCAAATACACAAAACGTATTTGAAAAATGACTAGAAGTAATAATTACCATGTGTCTCAGAAGGTTTGTATGACTAGATTCATATGCCAGCTTTATTCTCGTCCTGTGTTTGGATATTGTCGTCTGACAGGGAAGGAAGCTGGTCTTCAGATTGTTGACTGTTAGCCCCACACCTAGGTGAGAGAAAAGCAGGGGCTCAGCGAAGACCCTGAGGGAGCTGAGAATCAGCCCTGGTGAAAGTGTGAGGGTCTGTCTTTTAGTTAAACACAGGGTGAAGCAGTTATATACTTTAAATGTATGTTACAATTCTACAATTGCAAGAATGACAAGAATAATATTGCAAACTGTGGTCACTAGCAAAGAAAGGAGGAGAAAGAAAAGGTAATCATCTAGGATAGCACTGGCCAAAAATCCTACTCACCAAAGTGATTTGCTTAGAGCAAATCACTACAGAAAGGACAACAAATTTAAAATTTAAATGTAAATCTACTATTATAATAAAATGAAACGTGATTATTTTACCAGATTTTTAGGTCTTCTGACCTAAGGCTGTTTAGAGTACTTGAAAAGAATAGTTTATAGTTCAAAGAGAAATGTATAATTTAACTGAATAAACTGTAAGTAAACCAAATTAATGGGTACACTTTTTAGCAAAGAACCTTTATCACTTGGAGTCTTAGCAGTAATTGTTGGATGTAGTCAAATAAAGTTTTTGCAACCTGGAATTTACTGATTCTCCAATAAGCCCAACTCAGTAGATTTAACTAGTTTTGAATCATGGATCCCTTTGGGAAGTCTTTGAAAGACAAGTGCCCTTTTCCTAAAAAAAACAAAAAGTAAAAAAATAGCCATAGCTACACAGATACAGAATTTTGAGAATATGGCGGGTGTCCCTGGATGTTTTGAAACCCACTGATGAGGTTCCACTTGAGGACCTGTCCAGAATTACAAGTGGGGAGGCTGATCTTGAAGGTAGCTGTCCTGACTTCTGTCTGATCATAGCACCACCACCTAACAGGACTCTGACTCAGCCAAGGCCCAGCCCCTCTTAGCTTCCTCATCTGCTAAAAGGAAGAGCTGGACCAGAGGACTGGTTTGGTCCCTACTGTATCTCCAAGTGTGTGATTTGTCAGTCATCTGTGATAAATCCTGAAGGCTGGTTCTTTTCCTTTTACTTGTTTCTTCTTTCCCACAGCCATTTCTAGAGTTTTGGACACACATGTCTTGTAACACTCTCTAACCCCTTTTTTTATTAATTTAGGAACAATCTCTCCCCTTTCTATTATTCCCCCCACTTCACCACCTTCTTTTTCTTTAAGGTCTAACTTCTGATATTAATCATTTAAAAGGAAGAGGGAAAATATTTTTGAATGAGTACCCAGTCCTATAAACTATATTAGTGAGTTACTCAAGGATTAATTAAACTGAATAAATAATTAAGAAATTATGCAAGCAAATTCAATACACGTGGAGAATGTCACTTTGAAAGCATGTTCAGGAATGATCATCTTCCTCTTCCCTTACAGACTAGGCCTTGGAAAGCAATAGTTGGTCCCTGCTGAGTCAACTCCGAGCCTCTGGGTAGGACTGGGAGCTAGAGAATGAAGTCAGTGTCTGAGAATCTGGAAGATGAGCGTCAGATTTTAACAGTATAATCTTGTTAAGATACACAAATCTCTTATAATTACCCTCATGAGTAGTAGATGTATATTTAATTACTGAAAAATTCAGTAGAGATACTAATGATCAATAATGGAAAAATCCATTAGTCCAACGATAATTTCTCCCATAACACTGAAATCCAATCTGAGGGGTCATGTAGTTAAAACATAAAGCATGTCTTCCAAATCAGCAATTCTTTTCACTTTCATCCAATGACATTATTCATGATAAGACAGAATCATCAAAAGAGGAATGGCTGTAAGCCTGTTCTGGATGTCATTAACATTACCTGAAATTTCAGTAATGAGAAAAGGGTGCTTATAGTTATCTTATCATTTTGTTGCATTTTTCTATCATGACCACTCATATTTACATCCATGGCATGGTTTATTGAAACAAAGCTATTATATTGAGTTGTAAGGGTTTTTTAAAATCTATTCCCTTTTGCCTTTGCACTTAACATATTCAGAATGTGTGTTTGCCATTTGAAAAATAAACTCAATGTTACATAGTGAATGAAATTTAGAGGTTGATTATGTTCAACTTGTTAGCTCTATGATTAATAGAGAAGAATTGGAAGAAAGTATATCATATTTGGGAAATAAGAGTGAAATACCAGCCTACTGTTGCTTACAAGTGTAATCTTATCATATGCAGATTGTTTAAAATCACTTTTTCAAATTAGTTCTATTCGGGAGTGAAAATGCTCAGATTATTGAAACCTTAATTTTATCTGAAGATAATTATCCAATGTTCATTGAGACTATTATCACAGTCACGAAATATTTGAAAATCTGTGTTTGCTGTTGCAGTGCTAACTAGGATTATGTTTTCCCATTTCATTAGTTTGTTTAAAATGGTAAGTAGCATAAGGTGAAAGAATTGAATAAAACGAAGGGAATAAAAATCTCTATTTCTTTTAACTATGCTTTATTGTTCTCCATTATTGGGAAATAAAAGAGAGGAAATACCTTCAAGAAAGGACATTTATGCACTGGAAACCACCGTTGTGAAATATGTACCATCATTATACTGTTTTACACATCTGTACTTTACTGAGGGGGTTTAAATAAGTGCTTGAATTTGTGACCTTCAAAAGAAACAGACTTATTGGATGAAAGAGAGTTGACAGAAACCAAGTGCTTCTAAGAGAGCACATGGTCTTAATCAAAAAAAGCCCAGCAGAAATTAAACAGGACAGCTGATAAAAGACAGATCATTTAGATGTATAGATTTAAAAAGGAAACATGCTGTATTCAAACTCACTATAGATTCATCTTAAGAATAAATTAATTTCATAACTGTACTCATTATCTGAAACATGCCCCCAGAGATTCTGGTCATTACCCCAAAACCCTGTAAGGGAAGTTTAATTTATATCATAAGCATATTCAAAGGAATGTCTTAGTAAGAGTCCCACTAATTCTTAAAGAGCTGGGAAATAAACCTAGACTACTATTACAGAAAACCTTTGCCTTTACGGAAGTAAGATCATAATGCTCAGGACTTCCCCAAAATTCCATTTACCTTGTTTTAGAAAATCAGCAATAGTACTCAATTGTTATATATATTTATTTGATTTTATAAGCTTGAGAATGGAAAGTTGGGACATACATATTTACGGTACGGAAATCAAGATGATTTCTGGCCTTCTATTTTTTCCATCTGCCAATGGAGAGACCTAGCCCAGTGCCAATGTTCACTTACCTTTCAATTGCTTATTTGCTAGCTAAGGATTATTCGTGCATTCATGCATTCATTTATTCATTCAACAAATATAACTTGGTGTGCTTGAACTGACCTAAGCTAATTTGGCTGTTAAGCAATTGTCAGGGTCTTTTGGTAGCTCCCAGAGGTTATTTTGGTGTTTATTAAGACAAGTCCCACACCATAGCCCCCTAGGTGGTTACAATCAAAGCCAAGCCCAGACCAAGTTTGGACGAACTACATTTACTAGCAAATAGGAATAAAACCATCAAAGCCTGTTTTTATAAGCCTGGGGCAGTTCCTCTCTGCCCTCGGAAGATTTCAGTGGTTTCTTATGTGAATGGCTCACTCCAGGCATAGAGAGCAGGAACTGGTGAAAGCAGACTAGCTACTGTCATTGAATGATGAGGTTCCTTCCCATGCATCGCCTTTTATTTTGAATGTTAGGGCAAGAGTTTGGTAGGTGAAGCCACACATCCAAATTCTGATAAGTTAGAAGCAGATACGTTAGGTTCCAATAAGTTAGAATAAATGTAGACAAGTCCCTGAATGCTTGCTACTCAACAATTTCTTCATCATTCTTTCAATCATGATGGTATTATCCAAAGTTTATGTTCTAAGTGTTTTTAGAATTTTAAGCACAAGGGTTAGCTAGCATTCTTGGCTCAACTCTAGTGTTTACTTGATTAAAGGTTACAAAATGAAAACCAAAAAAAGAGCTTTACATTTTATTTATAGAGTTTTTTTTTTTAAGAAGGCAAAATCTCTTACTCAGCTTAACTTTGAAGGCTTAGCTCAGGATTAGGCATTAACATGTTGTTCATGTTGTTCACTTACTCACACAAATACACTTGCATCCAGGAAAGCATTTTTCTTTTTTTTTTTTTCAGTAATCAGACGCTGTTATTTAGGCAAAAATAACAATTGCTGGGTGTGGACTACTATGTATTGTTCCCAAGCTTGTGCATCTCTTGAAGGAGTGCCTACATGGAAGGAAATGTTTTTCTCTCACTTTCCCTTTCTGCTTCTCCTATCTTTCCTCAGCGTTTACCCTCCTGCAGCCCCTCATCCTTGTCTTCTTGGCTGAGCCACAGAAGTGCTACTTGTAACACCCACAGCCAGCCTGGAGGTGCCAACAGGGAGCAGGATAAAGAGGTTCAAGGATTGGAATGGGTTTAAAACCCATGAACACGAACGTGTTCTGGTTTCTCCTTAGTTTCTTAGTCTATTTGGTTTGCTGTAACAAAAATGCCATTTCTGGGTATCTTATACACAACAGATATTTATTTTTCACAGTTCTGGAGGCCAGTAAGTCCAAGATCAAGGTGCTAGATTTGTTGTCTTGTGAAGGCCCGCTGCTTGCTTTATATAAAGATGGACATCTTTTTGCTATGCCCTCACATAGTGGAAGGGAAAGCAAGTTCTCTGTGGCCTCTTTCATGAAAGAGTGCTAATCCCATTCATGAGGGCTCCTCCTTCATGACCTAATCCTCCCAAAGGCCCCACCTCCTAATACCATCACTTTGGGGTTTCATTTTCAATATTTGAATTTTGGGGATACATAAACATCCAGTCTGTGGCAGCCTCTTTCCCTGCTCCCAGCTGCTAAAGATCTGCCATCCTTCAGGCCAGACACAATACCCATGCATCTCTACTCTTAGTTCTCTGACCACCTCTTCTCAAATATCATCTCCTCTCTTTGGTTTTCAAATTTATTATACAGAAAAAACAATTTCAGCCTACTAATGATAATTTTAAAAAATGTGGAGATGGAAAGAACACCCTTAGGTCTCCCAACACTGTGATTTTAACCTAACAAATAACACTCAAATGTACCTAGTTAAAATTGCAATCTGCCCTGTCTCCAATCGCTGGTACCATGCTCCTCTGCTTCTTTTATCCATAGTACATATCATCCCCAAACAGTCTATATGATTTACTTATTCTTTCTTTTGAATCTTTATTATCTCCCACCCCTGCTGAAATATAAGCTCCATGAGTGGGAGGATCTTTGTTGTGTTCCCTGATAAACCCCAGGTGCCTAAAACAGTGACTGGCAGGCACATAGTAGGTGTTCAGGAAATACACGCTCAATTGAATTAAAGAGAATTCCTAAATTAGTTTCAAATACTCTCTTAATTGTTCATTTCACTTGCCACTTAGGCCATTTAAGGCCTGAGAAATTGCAGTGGGCTCTAAGAAACCACCATACCCTAAAAGGATGATAAAGTATGTACTTTAGTAGTAGTTAGTTTCACTACAAACATTCCATTGTGTTCGAGCTTCCAGTAGAACTCAAAAGCCAACAAGAAAGGTGCAAAAATAAATCCCAAGTTGCATCTGAAGACTATCTTTCATAATTAAGGTTTTAGAGGTCATCACTCAATCAAGTATAATCCTGCATTAATATTAAAGCCTAATATTTAGGGGTAATAATAGAGTCAAGTGTCTTCCTGGGAGTGCATTAATACCATACAAACTTTTTTAATTTGCCAAACCGTCTGATTAAAATTATTAAGTAGCTCTCTTTTGCAAGGTGCTGTTGAAAGTAATTGTACATGCAACACTCACGGAGTATTTTTTCATCTTGTAAAAGGGTAAGTTGCTAAACTTTGATTAAAAATCAGACACAGAACTAGATATATCTGACATTGTCACATATACTATTGAGCGACTTTAATCAAATTCAGCATTATTATCTTTTTATTTGCTTTTACTCTGCCTGCAGGTACAATAAAGTGAAAATATGTAAGCAATGGAGCATATTTATATTACTAGTCTGTGTGCCAGGTGGGTTGTAAAATAAATGTAATTGTTTTCAAAGATTGAACCAGATTAGCATGGATTAACACATTCATTTTGGAATCCATGGCAGGAAGTATTCTAAACATGCCTTCAAACAGCCCTTGTTACTCTGTTTATATCCCATCTTAGTACTACAAAATCACTGCCCCATAAAACAGGGAGCATTTTAACTGTTTATTTTTATATGAAAGAAACACAATTTATTAAACAAGACAAGAAAGCAGTTTTCTGCCATATTGAAGGCCAGATTTGCAGTGATTTGCACTCTGCCTTTCAGCAGATGAACAAAAGTGACAGACATGGAAGCCAGAGTTGTGGCTGCAATAAATATTCATAACTGCTCCTGCCCAAGGAGCAAAGGGAGGGGTCTGAATTTGCAGCACATGGTTAGCAGAGGATGAATCAGGACTAGACTGTCCAACACACACAGGCATGGAAGCCCTGGGCAATGCAAGGCTGAAATTCCTCACCGAGAAGGAGCACTGTGTTACTGGGTGATTTTGCAGAATCTTGACTCATGGGAGGTGAAATCTTTCAGATATGCCCTGCTGATGCCATTATCCCTCCTCTCTAACCTTAAAATAAACCTGCTTGAGAAAGTGTATTGTTGATGTATGACATCCATCGGGGAGAGTCAGCCCTGGGGGAAAAAAAAAAAACAAAAATGTAGTTTCTGATGCACTTCAAGACCCAAGGTCTACTACAAGAAACCTACCCAATTTTGAAAGAAATCAGTCTTTGGTGAATTATGCTCAGTGAAGCTAAAAGAAATGTGTACTGTAGAGTTTCTCTGGATGATGCTGGGTACTGGCAAATCTCGATTCTCTTACTCCAGTCCTAAGGATCTCTTTATTTTACATTGAAAGATGCTGTAATTCATTTCTATATTTAATGCAGGGATCTTGCCTACTGTGAAATTTAGTGTCACTCATGCAAGAAATCTCTATCAAATTTCCCAAACAACTGGTGAGTGAAGAAACTAATATTTTTTTTTCGTTTGTTTTGTCCACTAGGAAACTTACAGTAGCAAAATTTGTGTCCCAGATTATTTAGTAACTATGTGAGATCTTACCCTCTACATTTCTGTTTTTTTTGTTTTGTTTTGTTTTGTTTTTTCTTTTTGAGACGGAGTCTTACTCTGTCACCCAGGCTGGAGTGCAGTGGCACGATCTTGGCTCACTGCAACCTCTGCCTCCGGTTTCAAGCAATTCTCCCGCCTCAGCCTCTTGAGTAGCTGTGACTACAGGCATGTGCCACCATGCCTGGCTAATTTCTGTATTTTTAGTAGAGACCAGGTTTCACCATGTTAGCCAAGCTGGTCTCGAACTCCTGACCTTGAGTGATCCACCCGCCTCGACCTCCCAAAGTTCTGTGATTACAGGCATGAACCACTGCGCCTGGCCTTACCCTCTACATTTCTATGTCCTATTTCCTCTCCGTTTTCATCCTAATATCGTACCATTGTTTATTTAGCTTGATTTTTAAATCTTTATTATGTACATATTTTTAAATAAGGCTAAATTGTTTATGGAAGACACACATTCTTCAACACATATATTGACTAATGAAACTGTAAATCATATGAAAAACTGGCTAAAATTGAGGAAGTTTGCATTATTAAGCAGAGGATATTTAAGCTTCTTCTGTTGGTCAGAATCATAGATATTTGAACATCACTCAGTACCTTACATATATAGAGAGTGAGAGAGATACCAAACATTTCTGAAATCTTTAACCGGATGAATACCCTACAGTGATGGACTAATATCTAAGTAATTTAGTGGGGTGAAATACTACCAATTTTACAAGAGAAATAATGCATGGGGATGTTTTTCTTCCAGCCGCTAGGCACGGGGTCAGGTGTCATTCTCCTGGGCGTTGGGTCACTATGTGAGGTTTGGCCCACTGGTGGCCGACCTGTTTGTTTTCAGTGGTGTAATTGGTCACTCCAGAGATGAATACTTAGAAAGCATTAGATTTTAGACCTTCACTGACTCTTCCAGCTTGCCAGAACAATTGTGAGTGAGACATCTCTTCAAGAATGAAATCATTTCCCCCTGCCCAGCTGCCATGAGACACTCATATGTTCAACAAATGTAAAACATGCTTGACTCTGCCTGAGGAAGTAGATTTTGCAGTGCCAGACTTTGTTTGGGAATCCCTTTGTGATCCAAACAGAGAATTCTTCAACAAAGTATTTGGATGTTGCTGCAAGGGAGGGCTGTTATGTTTTACTATGTAGCTATGCTTAGCTGTGGTGTAGAATGCTAGGGAGTGAAAACAACAGATTCTATTGCCTGAGACTGCTAACATAGGAATTTTTTTTAAATCTGATTATGAAACATTATTCTCAGGATAAATCACTTTGTTAGTGCTTTGTTCTGTGCTTGGTTTTGTTTGTTTGTATTTTTGTCTACATTGAGTTTTCTCACAGTGTCCTGTGGAGAGGACCATGAAGTAATATATTCAAAAACAGATAAAATAGCCTAAGTTTGTCCTCTCTCAAAGCCCGAGCCTTCCTAGCTCATCTTTCATGCTAGGAGAACTGATTATTCACATCAGGAAAACACTGATTCAGTACTACAAGCAAAGAGGGGTGACTCTGAAATTGTTTTCTCCAGAGTTGTTAGCTAGACTAATACGAAATATGGATAAAGGAAACTTCACATTTCAGCATTACATTCAGTTTGTTTATATCATTATCTCATTTGCCTCTAATTCTTTCAAAAAAAAGATGCCGCCACCAGTTTTTTTGGAGCTTTCATGGTTGGAAGCATTTTCTTAAGGGTTAGACTTAACACCATGCACCAGGAAGAGCTGAGTATATTAGCTGGATAATGTGCATCATAAAGCATATGCCACCACCCTTGTCTTGGTCAGAGGGGAGTGAGCTGTCAAGTTAGTATGGTTAGTACGTAGATGAGAATCAACACACCCTGGTCTTAGTCTCAGCTTTCACTCCTACTGTGTTACCTCAGCTGCATAACTGAGCTTCTCTGGGACACGTTTATGACATATGTAAATGAGGAGGTGGTACTAAATTATCTCCAAAATGTTTCTAAGCTCAAGCTGGCTATTATATTCACATTTCAGTTCGTCTATCTAAAACATACTTACCTTGATTAATTAGCCTGTTAGAGGAATGTAATAAAAATTATGAGCTTTTTCTTCTCATTTAATCCCCATTTTCCTCTATCACCATTTGTCCATCCCATTTTCATTTCAACACACTTGAAAAAGGCACTACCCTCCCATCTGGGATACCAGCTCCGTAGCTCGAATGGGGTGCAGCATGGGGACTGGCCCAGGAAGTGTTTTAATTTTAGACAGAGAAAGAAAACCTGTATTGAATAAAGCCCCCAGTTGCCCAATATGTGTCTTAACAGGGAAACTTGTTCAAGATGACCAGGACTCATCTTGAATTTCCAAAATGGCCACACTCATGTTTATTTCAGAGCCATAAAGCAAAGTCCCCAAAGCCTGTCTGCCTGCCTCACCAGAACCTTTGAATGCAGTCATTCTCTGCTTGTTTTTTAGAACTCACACTTAGCATTGGATTAAAACACTCAAATCTAGGGCATTAAAATCACCCCTTTTCAGCATATGCATCTTGCAAGATTTATCTTCTCTTGCCTGAATCCCTGACACAAACCAAATTGTGGATTATCTTAAAATAGACATTGTCATAATTTATTAATCATCCTTTAAACCTCCCAAGTACTCTTGGTATCTTCTCAAATGCTCTCATTCTGCTATGTATTCTTCTTTTAAATGAATCTTTACAAGTAAGTATTGTTTACTTCTCATTTACCTTGTAATATTTAAACATGGTTGTGAGACTTCACAGAAAAAGGATCAGGGAATTTTAGCATTTTCATAAACACCTAAGTAAATGTGGCTTAAGTGACACCAATCTTTAGAAATATGACAACTTTTGATCTTTATACCCATTTTTTTTTTGTGATGTGTCACCTCAGTAGTAAATCCTCACACGGCTTTGTAGATGATACACTTGTAAAACGCATGGCATATGCTTTGCCTGTTAATCTTTCCTCTGCCAATTTGCAATGGAAAAGGAATAATCATCAGCCAACTTTTACAGTAAGGAAACCAAGGCAGTGTGATCAGTCCCAGGCTAACAAGTCAAAGGGCAATGGAGTTAAAAATGAATGCTAGGCACTCAGTGCTCACTCTATGATGAGAGTATGCTGCAGAGCCCTGAGATGAAATCCATAGGCATGGTTAACTGACCTTTAGGAAGTTTGATGGCTCAGTGGGAGGTCTTGCATGGTATTCCTGTATTCATTTCAAAGAACAGCTGAAATGTCATTATTACATGGGACAGAAATAATGCAAAATTAAATGCATTTTCTGCAACTGACAATATTAAATAGTGCTGTGATTTTACTGTTCTCATATTTTCTAACACCGCTCTATAAATTCCTTAACATTCATGTACAGAATATGATAGGTAGAACCTCTGAATTTTGACTATCTAGCAAAGGTTAGTGCTTCACTTGACTCAGAAAACCAAAATTATAGTCCTGGTTCCAATGTTTACCAGGCCCCTAGCCTTGGGCAAATGACCTAATCTTATTACACCCCACCATCTTTCTCTGTATAATTAAGTAATGATGTGTAGCATCTTGAGATCTGATTAATTTATTCATTCAGTATCTACTGAGTGCCCATTAGAAGACAGGCACTGTTAGGAATGAGAATGAGCTAGGCTGAGTATCCTTCAGTCTTCCAGACAGCCTGAATTACTCACTCAAGTAACACTTCCATCTCTGTGAATCAGCAAAGAGTTAAACAAAGTTGAATGCTTGAGATATTTCATTAGGTCTTTTGAAGCATAGTTCCCTGTTATTTCTTAACCTTTTTATTTGCTCTTAATCTTATTTCCTACACATGATCGAGTTTGGTTTCTCAGATGGTGCTCAGTGAATTAAAATAGACAGTATAAATTAATTTTGTGAATAAAATTTTATGAGACACTACATCAAATACTTCAGTAAAATCAAGATATATTTTATACCCATTGTAGATATTCATGGTCTAATCTTGTAATTATGTTTTTTAAAATTGGATTTGTACAGCCTTATTATCCAATTATTCACCCCATGCTGTTCATAGGTACAGCTATATTCCTTAATGTTAGTTCATTGTATTTACTAGAAAGAATAATGTCAGAAGTAATTTTCATGATTGTTCTACTTTCTCTACTGTAAATATATAACTCATGTACACTTTTTCAATATTATTTCTTTAGATGAAAAAAAGAGACTATCACATATACAGTTTTTCCCCACTACAGAAGATTGGGTGTTAGTAAGCCATCATTTTATACATTTTGTATCATTTTGTACATCAATGTACTTACATTTAGCATTCAACTGCTAATAAAAGGAACATTTTTAAGTGTTACTCAATCTAAAGATAACGTTGTCCTCACTAAGTCAGTTCTCCATGCTCTATGGAGATTGTGAGACCCAGAGAAGAAGCCTAAGGTGCATATGACCAAGTCAGTATTTTCTCATAAAAAGTTTTGAGTGTCTCTCCTATGCTTGGCATTGTTAACTCTGAGAATCCACAGGTGAATATGACACATCCCTTTCCGCAAGGAACACACAACTTTATTTAACTACCAACCACTTTCCCTTTATAAGGTAGGTATAAAAGCTAAGTATCTGAATATAAGTATTAATTCTCTTTCAGAGAAAGCTCCCTGAGAGAGATGCTTGATACTTTTAATTCAGTTCCACTTGGCAACCTTGCATGGAATACAACTGGGTAGTTTTAATATTTTCTATGAATATGTGTTGGTGCATCTTTGCGATCACCAAAACATTACATTTTTTAACTTTCAAGGTATTTTTGAACTGTTATGTAAATTAAGGCATAAGCACTTTTAGGTAATAAGTAAGTTTAGGTCACTAGACCTTCTTTGCGACTAATGAGGAATACACTACATAATTGTCAGATTCTTCTTAATTGAAAAATACCTACTCAAATTCCAAAGTTATCAGGGACTGAACTCAATATTAGGGTAAATATGGAATATATAATAACTGATTATGTATCAGATTGAAGCTTGAATAACTTATTCATACATCATAAAATTGTGGATTAG
The DNA here is from genome assembly GCF_000001405.40 of Homo sapiens. Taxonomy (NCBI): domain Eukaryota; kingdom Metazoa; phylum Chordata; class Mammalia; order Primates; family Hominidae; genus Homo; species Homo sapiens. The sequence goes on from NC_000013.11 coordinate 94,067,281, forward strand.
AAGTTTAACTCAGTCCTTTGTTTTACTGCTGAGGAAAAGGAGATCTACAGAAGCAAAGATATTTGATCAAGATACGTGAAAGAATTGAAGCTAGAATCCACATCTCCCATTCCACATCTGATATTCTTTTTATTATGCCGTATTCTGCTACAAAAATTAAGGATGGTCATGAAACATAGGCCTCTCTCTGTCTGTCTGTCTCTCTCTCTCTCTCTCTCTCTCTGTGTCTATGTATAGAGATGCAATATGGGGTGTGCTTAATATTCACTGGAGTCCATGAGAGATAGATAGATAGATTATAGATAGATAGATAGATAGATAGATAGATAGATAGATAGATAGACAGACAGACAGACAGATAGACAGGAAAGAGGGAGAAAAGAGATATTTGTGTTTGTATCCATATATTCTGGCAATCATTAGAATATGAAGCAAATAATATGTGTGTGGCTAAAAAATGTGAGTAGAGAGTATGTTTATATGTTTGCAACAGCAGATATGAATCAGTACCACCTTAGTGGTCAAATGGATAGGGTGGAAGCAGAACTCATACAATCCTCTGGTTTTCTAGCCTTAGCAAAAGATAAGGATACTAATGAATATGCTTAAATGTAGAGAACAAAGATGATCTAAGTTCACCTCAGATTCACCATTGTGTTCAATTTTATGTAGGAAAGATGGACTCCTCAGTGGTGGCACTTCATGAATTATTTTTAAAAGATGTACATTGATAAACAAAATTAAATAAGGTGCTGTTATTTTTTGAAGCTCTGGATATGTCTGTATTGGTTGGTTTTCATGCTGCTAATAAAGACATACTCGAGACTGGGCAATGTACAAAAGAAAGAGGTTTAATGGACTTATAGTTCCACATGGCTGGGGAGGCCTTACAGTCATGGTGGAAGGCAAGGAGGAGCAAGTTACCTCTTTCATGGATGGCAGCAGGCAAAGAGAGAGAGTTTGTGTAGGGAAACTCCAGTTTTTAAAACCATCAGATCTTGTGAGACTTATTCACTATCACAAGAACACCATGGGAAAAACCCGCCTCCATGATTGAATTATCTCCCACCAGGTTCCTCCCATGACATGTGGAAAATGTGGGAGTTAAAATTCAAGATGAGATTTGGGTGGGGACACAGCCAAACCATATCATTCCACCCCTGGCTCCTCTCAACTCTTATGTCCTCACATTTCAAAACCAACCGTGCCTTCCCAACAGTCCCCCAAAGTCTTAACTTATTTCAGCATTAATTCAAAAGTCCACAGTCCAAAGTCTCTTTTGAGACAAGGCAAGTTCCTCCTGCCTGTGAGCCTGTAAAATCAAAAGCAAGTTAGTTACTTCCTAGATACAATGGGAGTACAGGTATTGGGTAAATACGGCCATTGCAAATGGGAGAAATTGGCCAAAATGAAAGGGCTACAGGCCCCTTGAAGTCTGAAATCCAGCAGAGAAGTCAAATCTTAAAGCTCCAAAATGATCTCCTTTGACTCTATGTCTCACATCCAGGTCACACTGATGGAAGAGGTGGGCTCCCATGGTCTTGGGCAGCTCCACCCCTGTGGTTTTGCAGGGTACGGCCTCCCTCCTGGCTCCCTTCACGGGCTAGCATTGACTGCCTACAGCTTTTCCAGGTGCACAGTGCAAGCTATCAGTGGATCTACCATTCTGGGGTCTGGAGGACAGTGGCCCTTTTCTCACTGCTCCACTAGGCAGTGTCCCAGTAGGGACTCTGTGTGGGGGCTCCAAACCCACATTTCCCTTCTGCACTGCCCTAGCAGAGGTTCTCCATGAGGGACCCACCCCTGCAGCAAACTTCTGCCTGGGCATCCAGGTGTTTCCATACATCTTCTGAAATCTAGGTGGAAGTTCCCAAACCCCCATTATTGACTTCTGTGTACTTGCAGGCTCAACACCACATGGAAGCTGTCAAGGCTTGGGGCTTACACACTCTGAAGCCATAGCCAGAGCTGTACCTTGGTCCCTTTTAGTCATGGCTGGTGCAGCTGGGACACAGGAGACCAAGTCCCTAGGCTTCACACAACATGGGGACCCTGGACCTGGCCCATAAAACCATTTTTTTCTCCTAAACCTTTGGGCCTGTGATGGGAGGGGCTGCAGCAAAGTTCTCTGACATACCCTAGAGATATTTTCCCTATTGTCTTGGTGATTAACATTCGCCTCCTCATTACTTATGCAAATTTCTGGAGCTAGCTTGAATTTCTCCTCAGAAAATGGGATTTTCTTTTTTAGCACATTGTCAGACTGTAAATTTCTCGAACTTTTGTACTGTTTCCCTTTTAAAATGGAATGCCTTTAACAGTACCCAAATCACCTCTTGAATGCTTTGCTGCTTAGATATTTCTTCTGCCAGATACGCTAAGTCTTCTCTCTCAAGTTCAAAGTTCCACAGATCTATAGGGCAGGGGCAAAATGCTGCCAGTCTTTTTGCTAAAACATAACAAAAGTCACCTTTGCTCTAGTTCCCAACAAGTTTCTCATCTCCATCTGAGACCACCTCAGCCTGGATTTCATTGTCCATATCATTATCAGCATTTTGGTCAAAGACGTTCAACAAATCTCTAGGGAGTTCCAAACTTTCCCACGTTTTTCTGTCTTCTTCTCAGCCCTCCAAACTGTTCCAACCTCTTCCTGTTACCCAGTTCCAAAGTTGCTTCCACATTTTTGGGTATCTTTTTAGCAGTGCCCCACTCTACTGCTACCAATTTACTGTATTACTTTGTTTTCAGGCTGCTAGTGAAGACATATCCGAGACTGGGCAATTTACAAAAGAAAGAGATTTAATGCACTTATAGTTCCACATGGCTGCAGAGGCCTCACAATCATGGTGGAAGGCAAGGAGGAGCAAGTTACATCTTACAAGGATGGCGGCAGGCAAAGAGAGAGAGAGCTTGTGTAGGGAAACTCCAGTTTTTGAAACCATCAAGTCTTGTGAGACTTATTCACTATCATGAGAACAGCACAGGAAAGACCCACCTCCATGACTGAATTACCTCCCACCAGGTTCCTCCTGTGACATGTAGGAATTGTCGGAGTTACAGTTCAAGATGAGAATTGGGTGGGGACACAGCCAAACCATATCAATGTCTAAATGCAGAGAACTCAGAGATATACAGTCTTTATCCTTTGTCACTTTGTTTTTTGCTGCTTAAAAATTGTATTCCACTAGATGGAGAACATGTTAATTAAAATATTGATTGTAATTGTCCTTTTGAGATGGAAATGGGTCTGGGAACTATGCTACGTGAGGTACCATGGAAGCATTTAAATATATTTTCCCCAAAGAGCAGACTAGAAAGAGAAACTATGAGATAATTCAGTGTTGAATACTTAAAGTCTATCCTTTCTAGAGTTACTCTATGAGAACATTACAGCGAGACATATTTTGAATCAACACAAGGAATAGTTTTCTAACCTTTTAAGACTTGTCTGAAAGTAGTCTGTTGCTAATGAGACAGGGCTCTCTACTACTAAAAGTTTCTAATGGAGGTGACACCTTTTCTGGGTGATTCTGCAGGAATTCTTTAAAGCAGATGGCCTCTAGTGCGTCTCAACAATGAGTCTATAACTCTGCTAAGACATCACTGAGCAATTATACCAACAAGAATACAAAGGAAATCTAAAAACAGAATTGGTGTTTGGTTTAATTGATCCAGTAGAATAATTGTGGCTTCCCAGAGTGCTGTGTTGAGAAGGATCCTGAGGTCACCTCTGGGCTCATTATGATTGAGCATTGTAATTGATTAATGATGCTACACAGGGAAAGAAGTGAAGGAATAATTTCATTCTGATACACATGCCTGGCATGTGCCATCTTGACCTTAAAAGGTAAAGAGAAAAGTCTTCTCTCCATTTTCCAGCATTTGATTATTCATTATATTCCTTTGTTCTTTATGCACCTAAGCATATTTGGTTAACTCAGTTTTGAAATTTCAATGATGAATAGTCTTTCGTGTAGAGGGTTTTTAAAATTAACTGAAAATTATACATTTATAACTTAGAATAAAGCATGTGGTGTATATTATAGTCTCTTTTAGGATGACATGATTTGATTAAAGATTATAATGAACAATCAGAGGATTTAACTAATCCAAATTGGCCATTTAAATTATTGAAAATCTATCTGTCTTCATGTTTTGGGAAGCTTTGTGTCTGACTTCCACATGCCCTTTGTTCTTTTTGAAGTTTGCCTGGCTTAAAGAAAATTATTCAATACAGAGCTCAATTACAAATGTGCTTTGACAATCAGGAGGCTGTATCTGTGGTTTTATCTGGAACTTCAACAGAGGTGATAAAGAAGTTCCATGGCCTGGAATATAAATTCATGCATCTACAAAACAGTAATGCCTTTCCTTAGTGTAAAACTTCAGAGAAGACAAAATTTCTGAGTGCTTCTGGTTCAGAAAAGCAGCAATACTTACAGAATTGTTTTTTTCTTACTCAGATCTTCTTGTCTTAAAAAATATGCAGTGAAGTTCATGTAAATTTTTTGTTGTGCAGCCACAATAAAAAGTTACAAATAAAAAAGTGGTAGCTAACAGTATTTTGCCTTTTGCCAAATATACAAGTGTCACAGGACACCCAAAGTCTAATGACCTTGAGAAAAGTATAAGGCTTGAATTTTCATACAGATAGACTTTCCTAAATGACTTTTTGCCATAATTACACACAGTTAAGCATTTATTCAGCATCAAGCACAACTAATGTCTTTTCCTACCATTTATTTCCCCTTCTAAACAAGTTTATTTTAGTCATGCTGTTTAGTGAATTATTTTCCTCTGAAGACGTGTAGACAAACTAATCAACTAAAGAAAACCTAAAAACTGAGGAGTCACTGATTTGAGTTTTTTAAAAAGTTACCATCTAATTGTGCAACTGATAGTTTACATGTATCTATTTTGAACATTTTATATATAACCTATGCACAATTATCCTAAAATAAATATTTAATGAAGATGGAAAACCATAACACAAATGTTTCAAAACATAACGTCTTTTGCTTACAATTTTTCCTACTCTTTGGGTGGCATGATAAAGCCCCTTGTTTTTTTGTTTGCCTGTTTGTTTGTTTTTGAGACAGAGTCTCACTCTGTCTTCCAGGCTGGAGTGCAGTGGCATGATCTCAACTCACTGAGCCTCTGCCTCCCGGGTTCAAGCAATTCTTCTGCGTCAGCCTGCCAAGTAGCTGGGACTACAGGCACGTGCTGCCACGTCCGGCTAATTTTTGTATTCTTAGTAGAGACGGGGTTTCACCATGTTGGCAAGAATGGTCTTGATCTCCTGACCTCGTGATCTGCCCGCCTCGGCCTCCCAAAGTGCTGGGATTAGAGGCGTGAGCCACCACACCCGGCCGCCCCTTGTATATAGACTTATTCTCTACCTTTTAAAGCACTAGAAAAGCAACAATGAATATTGCAAAGGCACCAGTTCCTGTTCTCAAGATATTTGTGGTCTGCAGGAACAAGACAAACGAGTCAAATAGCAATGACAGGGCAAAGTGGCATGTGCTTAATGTACTTTGGGGTCCATAGGATGTTGTCTAATCCAGACTAGAGGGGTGATGCCCACGGCCTTGCAGGAGAATGGCACTTGGACAATATGTGGGAGCAAGATGAAAGGTGAATAAGGTCAGGAGAGTGGAAGGCATGCAAGAGAAAGAAAGAACATGTGCAAGAGTCCTGAATTGAAAGAATACTGGGCCCCATTCAAGAAATTGCAGATAGAGGAAAAAAAGATTATCTTTATGTTAGAGAGAGGCAGAGAGTCATGTCTACACCTAATCATTTTCCAACTCACACACAAACTCTCCAGACAGCCCTCTCCCTCCTTGACATCTGCATTGAATGGCCAAAAATAAGAGTGCCAGCCCTGCACTAAAAGAAGTAGTTTAGTAATGATTCTGAAGTAAAGCAGTGGTTTGATTCTGATCCAGGAATACCATCGTTATTACTCTCTCCTAAAGCATTCACAGATGAAAGCAGTGCAGTCATGAAATGTGCAAGCTTCTTTACATAAGCTTCTTTTGTAAAAAATGGTTCCTTTGATCCCATCTCACAATCTACTTAAAATAAAATACTTTCAAGATTTTGCAGTGACAGAGCTCAGCACAAAAATGGAGCTACCATAATGCCAGCAAGAATATAAAAATTTTTAAGGGGCTGTTGGATATGTTTCCATTTGCCTGTACTCAGCTCTAGGGGTAGTACTGGACATAAGCATAAATAATTTGCCATTTTAATGTCCTCCCTCTGCAGCAGGAGGAGATCTTTCCCAACATGAACCTCGGGTTATAGAAAAGAGTCATTGTGGATAAAGGTGTCAGATTACACGGAGATTCTGCTGATGAGACCTGTTTCACAGGTCCAAGTATCAGGTGGTTCTGTGCATTCATCCTGTGGTCTTTCTCTCCTGGACCGCTAGGAGACCAAAGGACCCTCTAGGATAAGCCTTTAAATAATCTTGAATTTTAAAAAATTAAAACAATAGTAATAATAACCTTGAATTTTTCACTAGAGCTTTGTTTAACTTTAACAACAACAACAAAAAATGACATAAATGGTGCTTGGGAAAATGAGATCACAGTCAACCATCCAAACTGCACTATGTCCCATCTCTTTGACACTTGGGAAATGGCACTATTAGCAAAAATAAGTACGATAATATCGTTTAAAAATGAAGGTGAAGCCATGAGTTACTATTTAAGCAAAATCTTTGCATCTGGCAGAGTTTCTGTTGTTTTAGGAATCAGTGTGTATTAGAGAACCATAGATTAGCTGTGCATATTTTCTCAGAAGTACAAATCCCTTCAGTCCAATAGTAAATACTGAGCATAAAAACATCATACTTTATTTGACAAAAATCTTCAATAGCCTCCATGCATTTTTTCAGAATAGCAATCATCATGGGAAAGTAGAGATTAAATAATTCATATTCAATAGCTCAGTAAAAAAAAATACTTTTCAAAATAGGGGCAAATACGTTTGCTCATTCCTCTGTTTCAAGAGCATATGTGGTGTAAAATTTTCAGAAGACTATTATGTGCAGCATAGACAAGGTTATGTTTTAAACATGACAATGAAGGTTTAAAGATGATTTTCAACAGATTTCAGAAATCACATTGTATTTAAACTACTTGAACCCCTTCTGCTAACTTACAGCTCTAAGAAATTCCTCCCCTTCAGGATGCCTCTTCTCCATGTTGTACCACTTGAATTTTATCACCCTTGAGTATTTGTTCTTACACTAGCAAATATGTTTTGTGTACCCATGACTTCAGATAGAAAAGTCACCAACAGTTGTCCTTTGATGCACAGTGTTGAAGACGGAAGCAGAGCAGACAATTACCCCAAATCACCTGGCTTTCAGCACCTCAACACCAGCTGCCTCCCTAATATTTTGGAAGCAATTAGGTAGAGGTCTCTTGGAATTTGGTCACCAAAATGACTACATTTCTGCCTTGTAGGAAGATGATCTACATAACCATGACTGAAACAAAAGTTTTATCTCCTCATCATTTATGTATTCTTTCCTTAGTTAAATGTTGATTAGATCACAGTGAGTCTGGTGTAACATATGAATATGGTACAGTCAATTAACATGAGGGAAAATAGACATTTTATAACCTCTTTCCAGAACTGAGGTAGTTATATAAATTTTTTAACTGGGCAACAAATAAAGTGGCTGGCCTATCAGATGTTTTTACTCCTAGACCTTAAATTTTTTTTTATACTCATTATGATTATAAATTTGTATAAACCCCTAAGTTACAACACATGGGAAAAATATCTTTGTATTTATCATGTGATAGTAGCTATACACAATCATCTGCATTAATGGTGTGTGAAGTCATAACCAATTTATGAATGTAATAATACAGTAAGCTTTAAAACATAGAGTCTTCAAACTTTAGCATGGTGTGTGTATGTGTATGTGCGTGTGCACGTGTATCAGCTTTACTGAGATAATACTGATATATAAAACACTGCACGTTTAATGAACACATTACCCTTGAAGAGTTTGGACATATGAATACCCCCATGATACCATAACCCAATCAAGGAAATAAACATATTTATCACCCCCCAAAATTTCCTTGTGTCCCTTTGTGTTTTATTTTTTGCAGCTTTTTGTGTGCAGGTGTGTGTGTGTGTGCGCGCTAAGAATATTTTACATGAGATCTACCCACTTAATAAATTTTAAGTGCACATTACCATACTGTTAATTATAGGCGATATATTGTACAGCAGCTCTTAAGAACTTACTCATTATGCAAAACTGAAACTTTAAACCCATTGAAGAACAACTCCCCAATTTCTTCTTACCATAGACCTTGGCAACCGCCATTCATTCTATTCTCTGCTTCTATGAGTTTGACTATTTCAGGATACCTCCTATAAGTGGAATGATGCAATCAGTATTTGTCCTTCTATGCCTGGCTTATTTCACTTAGCATAATGTCTTCAAGGTTTATGACAAGGTTTATTTTTATGACAGGATTTCCTACTTTCTAATGCTGAATAATATTCCATTGACTGTATATACTACATCTCTTTATCTATCCATCAGTCCATGGACATTTGGGTTGTTATCTTGGCTAATGTGACTACTGCTATAATACACATGAGAATGCAGATACCTCTTTGCAATCTTGTTTTATCAATTCTTTTGGACATGTACCTGGAATTGGTGTTGCTGAATTATATGTTAGTTCCATTTAAATATTTTGAGGAACCTCCTTACTGCTTTTCATAGTAGCTGTAATATTTTACATTCCCACCAACAGAGTGCAGGGGTTCCAGTTTCTCCACATCCTACCCAACACTTATTATCTTTGTTTTTTTTTTTTAAATAATGATCATCCTAGCAGGTGTGAGGTGATAATTTACTGTGCTTTCATTAAATTTCCCTGATGACTAGTGATGTTGAGCATTATTTTATTTACCTGTTTACCATTTATATGTCTTCTTTGGAGAAATGTCCATTAATGTCCTTTGCCCATTTTTAAATAAGGTTATTTGTCTTTTTGCTATTGAGATGTGGTTGTTCCTTATATACATTGGATATTATCTATCTATCTATCTTACTATCTATATCATATAAAAGGTTTGCAACTGTTTTCTCCCATTATGTAGGTTGTCTCTTCACTCTGCTCACTGTTTTCTTTGCTGCACAGGAACTTTTAGTTTGATGTAGTTCCACTCCATTTTTGCTCTTGTTTCATGTGCTTTGGGTTTGATATCCAAAAAATTATTGCTAATGCCAATGTCAAGAAGCTTTTCCTGTGTGTTTTCTCCTAGTTGTTTTAGAGTTTCAGGTCTTATGTTTAAGTGTTTAATCAATTTTGGGTGGGATTTTATATATGGTATAAGATACAGTCCCAATTTCATTCTTTTTAATGTGAATGTCCAGTTTTCCCAACACCACTTGAAGAGACTATCTTTTCTCCACTGTGTATTTTTGGTACCTTTTTTTGAAGATAAGTTAATCATATACATGTGGTTTTATTTCTGGAATCTCTATTCTGTTCCATTGATCTATATGTCTGTCTTTATGCCAGTGTCATACTGTTTGAATTACTGTAGCTTTCTAATACATTTTGAAGTTAGGAAGTGTGATGCCTCCAGCTTTGTTCTTTTTCCTCAAGATCACTCTGGTGCTTCTGTTTTTTTTTTTTTTTTTTGTGGCTTTATATGAATTTTAGGATTTTTATTCCATTTATGACATTGGGATTTTAACGGGGATAACGCTGAATCTGTTGATCAGTTTGGGTACTATGGACATTAGAACAGTAACAGTATTAAGTTTGCTAATCAATGAACACGGGATATTTTTCCATTTATTTGGGTCTTTAATTTCTTTCATCAACATTTTGCAGTTCTCAGTGTACAAGGTTTTCACCTCTTTGGTTGATTTATTCCTGAGTATTTTATTTTTTTGATGCTATTGTTAATGGGATTACTTCTTAATGTTTCTTCAGATAGCTCATTGTTAATGTATAGAAACATGACCGATTTTTTAATGTTGATTTTGTATTCTGCAACTTTACTGAATTTGTTTATCTCAACAGTTTTTTAGTGGAGACTTTAGAGTTTTCTAGATATAAAATCATGTCATTTGCATATAGAGACAATTTAAGTTTTTCCTTTCCAATTGGAAGCCTTTTATTTTTTTTTCTTGTTTAATTGCACTGGCTAAGATTTCTAGTACTGCGTTTAAGATAAGTGATAAGAGCATTCCTGCCTTGTTCCTGATCTCAGAGGAAAAGCTTTCAGCTTCTCATCTTTCAGTATGATGTTAGCTATAGGCTTGTTATATATGGCCTTTATTATGTTGAAGTACATTTCTTCTATACCCAGTTTATTGAGCATTTTTCATTATAAAAGGGCATTAAATTTTGTCAAATGCCTTTTCTGCATTTATGGAGATGATAATATGCTTTCTATCCTTCATTCCCTTAATGTAGTATTTCATATTTATTGTTTTGTGTATATTGGACCATCCTTGCATCCCAGGGATAAATCCCACTTGATCATGCTACATGATCTTTTTAATGTGCTATTGAATTTGGTTAGGTAGTATTTCACTGAGGATTTTTATCATCTATGTTTATTAGGGACCCAAAAGACATATATAGAACATTCTACCCAACAGTGGCAGAATACACATTCTTTCTAAGTGCATGCGGAACATTCTTCAAGATGGATCACATGTTAGGCTACAAAGCAAGTCTTAACAAATTTGAGAAGATTGAAATCATGTCAAGTATCTTTTCTGAACACAATGGTATAAAAGTAGAAATCAGTGACAGGAGGCAGATTGGAAAATTCACAAATATGTGGAAATTTAATAATATATTTTTGAGCGACCAATGGGACCAAGAAGAAATCAAAAGGCAAATCCAAAAATATCTTGAAACTGTGAAAATAATAGTACAACAGAGCAAAACATATGGGATGCAACAAAATTAGTACTGAAAGAGAAGTTTATAGCAATAAACACATACATTAAAAAGGAGAATGATCTCAAAAAACCTAATTTTCTACCTCAAGAACCTAGAAAAAGAACAAACTAAGCCCAAAGTTAGCAGAAGGAAGGACACAATAAAGATTAGCGTAGAAATAAACAAAATAGAGGTTGGAAGAATAATCTAACAACAAAACTAAGAGTTGGTTTTTTGCAAAGATAAAATTGACAAACTAAGAAAAGGCAGACTAAGATAAAAAGAGAGAAGCAGCAAATAAAATTAAAAATGAAAGAAGAGACATTAAAAATTGATGCTGCAGACATACTAAGGATCATTGCACTACTGTGAACAATTACACACCAACAAATGGGATGTCCTAGAAAGAAAATGAATAAATTTCTGGATACATACAACCTACCGACACTGAAACATGAACTAAAAGAAACTCTAAACAGAACACCAACAAGTAACAAGACTGACACAGTAATAAAAAACCTCTCAACAAAGAGAAGTTCATGACCAGATGGCCTCATTGGTGAATTCTACTAAACATTTAAGGAAGAATTAATGCCAGTCCTTCTCAAACCCTTTTAAAAAATTGGAAGAGAAAGGAATCTTTCTAAACTCATTTTATGAGCCCAGCATTACCCTGATACCAAAGCCAAACAAAAACACTACAAGAAAAAAAAATTTTAGGTAAGTATATTTTTATACCTTACCCATATCCATGGATTCTGTTATCTGCAAATTCAACCAACTGGGGATTGAAAATACTTTTAAAAAATAAGAAATGACAAGAAAAATAATACAAATAAAAAACAGTACAGTATAACATCTATTTATGTAACATTTACATTGTAATGTAGAGATGATTTAAAGTATGGGGAGGACAGGCATAGATTGCATGCAAATATATATGAAGGATTTGAGAAATGGCGGATTTTTATATTTCACGGATCCTGGAACCAGTCCCCCAAGGATACCGAGGAAGGACTGTACCTATAAAATTTTCCCAGAACATTTTGCTATAAGGCTACATTAGATAGAACTGCCAATTAAATTCTGCGATCCTTTCCATTTCAGAAGTAAACACAGTGATATTTCAGAGATTTTTAATAAGATAGTTTGAAGTGTGAGATAAATATAAAGACAGGGCCATGCTGTTATTTAGCAGTACTAATAGATCCATATTGAAGGTGTTTTTCATATCCATCAATGTTTGTAGAGTCATTGGGGTCTCTGCAGATGATGTATTTGAGTTCGTTGAGGACAGTTATTTCACCCATGGTGAGCTTAATGCAAAAATGTTTCTGCGAGGTTGCTTTACACTTTAATATTTCTAACTAATAGGACATTTCAAGTGTATGTCCCATGGTTGTACATATGTGTGAACCTATATTCCTCCTGACAGCCTACATTTCAAAAATTGTGAATAACACAGGCACTACTTCCTCAGAGTTCCATAACCATTGTAAAATCTGTCTCCATCATTGCTCCTCACATTGCTGTGCAATTATTTCTTTGTGTCTGTTTCCTACATCAGACTTTTAAGCTACCTGGATGACAGTGTCTAGTAGTATTTATCTTTACTTCCCCAGCTTGTATCACATTGCCTGACACATAAGAGTGCTGCAACAAATATTTGCTAATTAAATAAATTACATGGTTGACACATTTGGTATCCAGACTGTTGAGAGAGCACAATGTCCTGATGGTTTTTGTTATTTTAATGAGTCATAAGAAATGCCATAAATGATACCATGTGTTCTACACTTTCCCTCTTTCTGGGACAACATAATGCAATTATTTACAAGAATCCCAAAGAGATTTCATTTCTCATAGAAAAGAAAACCAGAGACCAGTCATTTGAGATTCATCATCCCAGGATTCAATTTTAGAAGAGCCCAATTCCCCAACCCCCATGTGAAACTTTTTAAGAAAAGACAGACTGCCTTAGTGTCTGGAAATTTAAGGTTTGTGAATCTCAGCTCCTAGACTGACTAAAACATTTATTTCTTTTGTGACTTCACCTTGTCAGTGAAATTTAAAAGCTGAGAATTTGAAGAAAAAGCTGATAAGTAATTTTAATTATATTTGGGTAAAAATTGCATTATTAGAATACATAACACAGAGAGATCTACTCCAAGCTATTAATCTGGAAAAATCATTTAAAGACATTAGGATTATTATTCATTACCTTAGATAAACAAAATAAATAAATACCAGTGGCAATAGGAAGAATGATAATCAGGTTAATATTTTTTTTCATTCTAAGGGTATGTTTAACTACTTGGGCAACTATAAAAAATGTCATAGACTGGGTAGCTTAAACAACAGACATTTATTTCTCACAGTTCTGGAGGCTGGCAAATTCAAGATTAAGGTGCCAGCTGACTTAATTCCTGGTGAGGGCTCTTCCTGACTTGCAAATGGCCACCCTGCTGTGTCCTCACATGAGGAAGAGAGAGCAACTTCTCTCTCTGTTCTTACAAAGCCACTAATCCCACCATGATGGCCTCCTTATGACCTCTTCTAACCTTAATTTCTTTCCCAAAACTTGATCTCCAACCACAATCATATTGGTGGGTCGAGCTTCAAGATATGAATTTTGGAAGGATACAAATCAGTTCATACCAAAGGGGAAGTATTTCACCATTTTAGTTTTGTTTAGCTCATCAATGCCAAAGATGTTCTTTTAGAGTCTTCTGATGAACCTCATTGATAGCAGCTAGCAATGTAACAGAATGTTTAGGACAGTAACAAGTTCTAAGGGAAGAAAAGACCATGGGTGTCTGTGGTAGCTGCTGGGGAAAAGTGTTAACCTGGAAGATTCTGGGCACAGTCCCTCAAGCAATAGGCTTATCACCAGGTATTGCTACTAATGCTGGCTAGCTCTAAAAGACTCATTAAGAAATTAAAGAAATACCTCCAACTTCATAATATTTGTATCAGCCAACCATTCAATTCATTTCTAAAACTGTTGTATTGTGTTTATCAAACCATGTTTCCAGCAGTATTACTACCACCATTTAATTGTCAATGATCCTAAACTATTTTTTTACCAATTCTCTGGAACTCAAAGACATATTATCTCTTCAGTTACTCTCCCACTGGTTTGTCATGAACACTGAAATTCCCATATTTAATGTCTCTCTTTACCACAAAGGAGTATAACAACAATGGCTTTGTTAACTTGTTAAGAGAATGTATTGAACGACTACTATCCATAAAATATTACTACTCAGAATTACAAGAAATGGACACAGGAGAGAGAAGTTTAAATGGGAAAAGGAGCTGAAGGAGAGTTCAGATTTAAGTGGCACCTCATTGCAAGCAGGAGTTCTACAAAAGCACTCCATATGTAGGCAAAGTTGACATTGGAAAGGAAGAAGCTGGAAGTCCTGGAAAACAATGTGGCTAGAAGGAATTACTCAGGTTGCAAAGCCCAATTATATATATTTAACTATCTTGCTAAGTCCAGGCACTGTACAGTAAATGGCTCCCAATTATACCGCACAGATCCTGTCTACCTTTTGAATCTCCTTCCCAACTACTCCATGTCTATGCCTTCTACTACTTTCCTTTTTTTTTTTTTTGAGACACAGTCCCCCTCTGTCACCCAGGCTGGAGTGCAGTGGCATGATCTCGGCTCACTACAACCTCCACCTCCCGGATTCAAGCAATTTTTCTGTCTCAGCCTCCCAAGTAGCTGGGACTACAGGCATCCACCACCACGCCTAGCTAATTTTTGTATTTTTAGTAGAGACGGGGTTTCACCATATTGGTCAGGCTGTTCTTGAACTCCTGACCTCAGATGATCCACCTGCCTCGGCCTCCCAAAGTGCTGGGACTATAGGCATGAGCCACTGCGCCCGGTCTACTTTCCCTTTTTAAAATTCTCTTACAAAAAAAGATGAGACTAATGAGACTTGCATATCCTTACTCTCCTACAACCAACATGTCTTCATGTCCTCAAATTCACACTTTACTCTCCAAGCCCTCTGTGTCTACTCAAAACCACAATTAAGACTTCCTACCTGGGTTCCTTCCACCACCTCTTCATAGTTTCCCTATTTCAGGCCCCAGACACACTTCCCTGAAAATACTGTGCGCTCATGTTTTCAATCCAAACTTATTTCTTTCCACTCTCCCAAACATTAACATTACAAGGTGGCCAGTTTCCTCGCTATCCCTTGTGAGTCCCCTTTAGAAAGGAGAAGGTCTTCCCCTTTTCCTCTCTAGAGATCTTATCCTCTCTAAACTTAACCAACGCTTCAGATAGTGACATCTCAAGTGTTGTTAGAGAATTCAAAGACATAACTTCACCACCCACCTTCCGCAGGGCCCAGCATTCCAGTGGCCCTCAGTCAGCTCTCCCCTCTTCTGCCCTACTACATGCCTTTTCTCACATTTTACACTCACTGACTGTGTTGCTTGTGAATTATTTCCTAGCATCTTCCATTTTCCTAGTTTATTTGATATTTAGAAGTAGAGGATGTATCCTCCGTGAAACTTCCCCCAGATCCTCAGCAAATCCTGCAACGTTTCATCTGTAGACCCATCCTGTAAACAGTCACGGACATGCAGTTTATCATCAATTCGTCTCTAGTAATTCTATGAATTCTGGGCCAGTCTGTCCACCCAGAATGTAGTATTCTAAATGCTGGATCCTGTATTTCTTCTAGAACTTAGCACAGAGTAGAATGCTTAGTATTGGCCATGGCATATCTGTTCACGAATTGACTCATGATCTGTCAGAGATTTTCACCTAGGTCCCTGCTGGAATGTCCCCTGCTCAGAGGTACTTCTCTGACCTATCACTCTGCACCTTTATCCTGCTCAAGGTTTTTTTGTTTTCTTTTGTTTTGTTTTTTGAGACGGAGTCTCGCTGTGTTGCCCAGGCTGGAGTGCAGTGGTGCAATCTCGGGTCACTGCAAGCTCTGCCTCCCTGGTACTTGCCATTCTCCTGCCTCACCCTCCTGAGTAGCTGGGACTACAGGCGCCCGCCACCACACCCGTCTAATTTTTTGTATTTTAAATAGAGATGGGGTTTCACCGTGTTAGCCAGGATGGTCTCGATCTCCTGACCTTGTGATGCGCCCACCTTGGCCTCCCAAAGTGCTGGGATTACAGGCATGAGCCACTGCACCCGGCCAGGTTTTTCTTTTTTAATAGCACTTATCTCTACTTTGCTATATGTTAATTTGTTTATTTTTTATTCTCTGTCCCATTCCCATAAAAATGCAAGTTTCATAAGGTCAGGCACTTTGTCTTTATCACTGCTATAGCCCTGGAGACCAGAGGAGTGCCTAGCACTTGATAGACATTGAGCAGGTGTTGAAAGAATGAGTGAATCTATTCAAGATCCAGTTTTCTGATAGACAATAAACAATTGTGATTTTGACTCAAGTCCTAGTTCAAGCACATAAGTGTAGATGTTATATATCATTAAGATTAATAAAGGACTAGTATTAATAAACACTTATGTGACAGCTTTAATAGGAAGACAGGATATCCCTGCATTACAAGGGAAGTTTTAATGAGTAACTGAGTCCTGTCCTCTTACTTTTCTGATAAAACACAGGACCCAGATATGAATGTCTTTCTACCAATCTTTGTCTACTGACATGAGAATAAACAGAGCACAGGGCTATATAATGCTTGTCAGTTACCTAAAACAAGAATGTAACGAGAGAAAGTGGAATAAGGAATAACTTAAACCATTTTATCCAAACGAAAATGGCTTTCCCATTCATTACCAATGACTTGAACCTCATATTACTATGTACTGGCTATAGTCCTTCCATCTCCTGGGAAGCTAAGATTTATAAAGTGTGCTTCTTAACAAAATTATTTCATGCCAGTATTTAGTTATCATTGTTAATGAAAATATGTGTAGCACTTTTCGAAATGTTCTGTGGACATTTTTATTTACTGCACATAAATCCAGAGAAACAATGATCTGTTATTGCCACTTCTTCCTTTAGAGAGTTGCATCCAAGGCCAAAAACTGAATCATTATTAGAAAACCTGCTGAACCCAAATTCTTTCTCTATGTGCTTCTCCCTTCTACACAGTGTTTCAGTTCCTTGCCTAGTAATGCAACTTCATTATATATATTCTATTTGAGAAAGGAGGAAATGGATAGGAAAACTTTTACTTAGCCATGATTCATGATAGAAATCAATTGAAATTCATATGAACCATTATCACAAGAATATGAATTTATATCCCCAGGTGGACAGTTATGAAAGTGGGATTTATATGCAAATGAATTCAAATGTCAGTTAAATGCTCCATATTAGGGTAAGCACTATTTGTGATAAAAAAAAAACTTAATACACAATACATGGAGGCAATTTGTTTGTTTTGCGTGTCCTGAGTTGAAAGGGGAATTCTCTTTTCCAGATCTTGGGAATCTATTTTCCCTTCTTAAGTTGATAAAGTTTAAGTCTAGAGAGTTTAGTTAACTTGCTCAAGATCACAAAGCTTATTTGGTAGCAGAAGAAAAGCTGGAAATCAAATATTACACTTTTTGTGCAGTGCTGAGTCACTTGAAGATGCTATGTTGAAAATCAATCTTGAAGGATAGGTAACACCACAAAGAGGCAGAGGAGTTGGAAATCTCATGGCAGGATTATAGGCAGTGAGGAGAATGGTTTGGCCCAGGTGAAGTGAGAGTTTATGTCAAAAGTAAAATTGGAAAGAGATAACTATATCATGGATCTTATACTTTATCTAGTGAGCAATGGTATAATTCATGTATAAAAAGAGTTTGTGGCTGGGCACGGTGGCTCACACCTGTAATCCCAGCACTTTGGGAGGCCGAGGCAGGCAGATCACAAGGTCAGGAGTTCGAGACCAGCCTGGCCAACGTGGTGAAACCCTGTCTCTACTAAAAATACAAAAATTAGCCAAGCGTGGTGGTGTGTGCCTGTAATCCCAGCTACTCAGGAGGCTGAGGCAGGAGAGTTCCTTGAACCCAGGAGGCGGAGGTTGCAGTGAGCCGAGATCACGCCACTGCACTCCAGCCTGGGTGACAGAGCGAGATTCTGTCTCAAAAAAAAAAAAAAAAAAAAAAAGGGAAGAAAAAGAAAAAAGAAAAGAAAAATAATTTGTTTGTCTTGGCCTTGTTTTTGCTTTTGAGCAGGAAACATCATGAGCAAAGCAGTGTTTTGGATGACCCAACTTGCATTGCCAGTTTTTGCTGAGTAAGACAAGGTATAACAAGGAAGGCGAGAGATGGGTTAGGAGACTACCTGCAGCAGCCTCTTTCGGGATATAATAAGAGTCTATGTACACATAATAGTATCTTGCATTTTTATGACCTTATTTTTTTCAAACAACTTAACTTCTTACAAATACGATTATATTTAATCCTCACAAGCCTGTGAAAAAGGCAGGAGTAATCACAGCCACTGTATGAGACACAGAAAGCAGCAGCCTCAAGAAAATAGGTAACTTGTTCCCACTGCTAATCTGGAGTAGTTGAACTGAGAGTTACATCTTTAACGTATGTCTGAAAATCCAGTGCCCTTCTTACTATATATGTTGCTCTACATTCTCTTAAATAATTATATAATGGAAATATTTATGTAAAAAATATACACTGAGTTTTCATTAGTTACCCATCTGTTTGACTTCAATTTATATAATATATAGTCAACTTACTCCTTAACTCTCAAAGAGTAACTTCTCCTAATGGGTTATTGAAGAAGAGAATATCCCTTCTGTTCTGTAAAGACACTGAATATTCATGTTCTTTTCTCTTTTTTTCTTTTTTTCTTCCCTTTTGATTTTATTCTTTTTTTGTTTCTAGGTTAGAGATTCAAATAGAACTTTCTCTGCTTCCGTGAATTTTTAAAATTGGTTTATACATTTGACAAAGCTACTTACATGCATATTTTATTGGAAAAAAAGGTTTAGAAAAGAGGATTACATAAAGATTCTCACACTGCATGCAGCCAACAGCATTTGTGAAGCACTTTTTTTCAGAGCTCTGTCTTGAGTGCTAGAGTAGGTGACAAAATGGCTCAAGTAAGAGTGAAATGGGTTCACCTTCCCCGGAAACAGGCTGAGAGAGCCTGTGGCTAAAATGAGATCGGATGAGTGGAATGAAATACTATCTGGACCTTCCAGGATTGCACACCCCAGCCATAGCACCCCAAGGACTGGGGAGAGGCAGATCACATTCAAATTAATTTTGTACATGACTAAAAAAAAAAAAATCTGTAGAAATGTGCATGGTTTCCTAAGTAAATATGGGTCTTAGAAATTATAAGTGGAAGCACATGACTTAGTGAATAGAGTTCTAGAAACCAAGAACAGAAGTCTTGTTCTTAGTTCTTTCACCACTTCCCAACACAGCATTAATGATGTGGCTCTGTTTCCTCAAGTTGAATATGGCAGATCCTCAGGCTATCTTAAGAGACATGATTGATTGTAAATCAGATAACTGTATTTTAACACTGATTGTATAAAATGTAAAAACACCACTAGAAAACCAAAAATCTCGATTTTTTAATAATCTTTTTAAAAAGCTTTTTCAGGATAAAAGAAGGAAAAGGAACTATTTTTAATAAAACACAGTTTTTCTCGTGAACAATTCTAAATAAAACGACATGTGTCTTTATTTGGCAGACTATCTTATTAGTGGTTCAGAAGTAAAACTGGTAGTTGCCTTGCCTTAAAAACTGGCCACTTTAGTTTTTTCAGGAAGCTTAACGTTATGTGAGGCGCTGTGGAAAATTAGAGAAACTATGACTTTTAATTATTAACTAGACAAAGAGGTAAGATTTGGTTAAGGAAAAGTTCTCTCAGTGGTGCTTTATGAAATATTGTGAAGAAAGCTCCAATCCCACATTATTTCATAGATTTAAATGGGATATTTGATGGTGTTCATACATGCTCCCTGTTGGGGAAAGCCGATGAATGAGCAGATCTAAGAAATTCTGCCTTTCATATTTGGAGATATGCCAAGAATCAGAGGGCGGAGACCTGCAAGCCATTATAAGCATCAAAGCTTATGTGAGCTGGGAAACAGACCAGAATCAGGACATGTAAAACAAGGCCAGGGTGATTAAGTCACCTCTAAGGTGTAAAATGAAAGCTACGCCTTAAAACAGGAGCAAATCAGAACCAAGAATCTAGTTCTTAGCCAATGCAAAGTAGAGAACAGAAGCACTACCACACCAATTCAAGTATCATTGTTTGATCAGCTACTTGAAACAAAGGAATACAAACTGATGTTTATTAAGATCCCAATATGTTTCAGGCACTGTTACCTCATCCACAGAATCTCATCAAGTGTGGACGGCAATCCTAACAGGCTATTGATAAAGATAATGACTGCTCAAGAGAGATTTAGTAACCTGCCAAAAGTCATTTAGTTAACAAACCATAAAATCAGATCCTGTATGACTTCAGAGCTAGTGGTTCTTCATTACCTACTGCCCTTCAATGGGGAAAAGTGAATGAATGAGACATGTTCCACAGTTCTAGATTTAATTATGTAACGACATCATAGTCATCTTTGAGCTTAGCTTGCTTTGGAGTCCAGCACTACTTTGAGTCATGGATCCTGTGAACCTGAGAGCCTGATAAGATCTTTTGTATCCTTTGGAGAAGCACTGAGCAGCAATCATTTCTTTGTGGACATGGGTACCAGCCTACAGAATTCCACTGTGTAGAGTATATTGGTCTCCATTCTTCTCTGGCTTTTGAACCTTTTAAAACTACTGCTATGAGCATTTTCCTAATGCTGGCAGACCTCTTGCTGAGGCACAGATGTTTATAAGTTCCTCTGTGAGTTCTTTTGCTGTACTAGGACAGGATCAATTTCATAACCGTTCAGAAATCCAAATACCAGAGGCTAGCAGGAACCTAAGTCTGTATTTCCCCTAGGAGCTCTAGTTCAATATTCACTAATTCAATGTTGATTGTGACTTTACACAACACAACAATGACAATGAAAGATAATTGACTTACATAATTCAGAGCCTGATACATGGTAAATGCTAGGAAAAGGGAAACTATAATGCTTATAAGGAATTATAATAATTTAATTATTCTTGCATAGTCTTTGCATGGACATATTAAGTTTTAAGGATGTTCATAGAAACATCCTTAAGGAGAAAAAGTGGAGCCAGGCATGGTGGCTCACACCCGTAATATCCTAGCATTTTGGGAGGCCAAGGCAGGAGGATCACTTGAGGCCAAGAGTTTGAGAACAGCCTGGACAACTTAGCAAGACCCTGTCTCTATATTAA
The DNA here is from genome assembly GCF_000001405.40 of Homo sapiens. Classification (NCBI taxonomy): domain Eukaryota; kingdom Metazoa; phylum Chordata; class Mammalia; order Primates; family Hominidae; genus Homo; species Homo sapiens. The sequence continues at coordinate 94,088,531 of NC_000013.11, forward strand.
AAAGAAAAAGAGAGGGAAGGGAAGGGAAGGGCAGGGGAGGGGAAGGGAGGGGAGGGGAGGGGAGAGGAGAGGAGGGGAGGGAAGGGAATTTAACGTTATTAGCTACTATAGCCTCTTCTCTCCATTAGCAGCAGCCAAACAAAAACCAGGCCTGATTGAATCAGGATTTCATGTTGAATATCACTATCAGTGCTGTCTTCTTGTAATTTCAATATGGTTTTAGACTCCAACAGAGTATAGCAGGATGTTGGAAAATAAAATCTGGGGACAAAAATCCAGAAAGCTCTACTCATTGACTTTACACAATTATGTGATGGTCTCAGTGATCTTGGGACTTGATTAGGTATTAAGCATTTTTAACTGCCTGGGGGTCACTGATATAAAATCTCTATCTGACATATAATTGATTTTGTCGTAATTGATGAGATTATCGGGCATATTCGTTCTTGCCAGTGAAGTCAAGAACTGGAAGCACACTAGGTTCAGGCTTAATCGGTTTTATGCAGCTGTGCTTGAGTACTTAATAAAGGACATGAAAGTTGGCACCAAGAAGATTCTCTGAGAAATTCCTCCAATTCAATTGATTTAGAGCATGATTAAAAGCCCTTTGTACAGTAATCCAGGAGCTGCTGTATGCTAATGACTGTGCTCTTAAAGCCCGTGAGTAAGAAGATGTGAAAATGATCACCAAACCTCTTGCAGACTCTGCACTGTGATTGGGCTGATAAGCCTGAGAGAGAGATGGATTAGGTCAGAGCCCCTACCAAGGAAACCTTCAATCTAGCCAAAGACTTTCAATGACATCGCAGAAGAGAGAGAGATGTCTGTGATTTTGATCATGCAAGGCTGCTCATAACCTTTTGGCTGTGCAATTTTCAGCCTGGGAAATCAGATAGAAAGGATTCTTACATCCTTTAGGAGGCTGGCAGCCTTGGTATCAACACTGTGGCTTCTGGCTTGAAAGCAGGGGCTCTTCTGAGATACCTGGACAAAGCCTATGTAATGCACATATTTTCTTCCTAAAGCACATCACAGCTTTCTTGAGCTTAGGAACACTACATAGCACTTTACCCTGTATTTGGGTGAAATTGCCAAAAAAAAATGCACACAAATGTGAGAAACATGGCACTAACTGTGAAAAGGACACTTGTTAACATTATGAGAGCTGAAACAAGAAGGTAGAACTTCACTTTGTTCAACTTAAGCTAGGAATGTGTCCATTGGGTGACTCAGATTTTTTTCTCCAATCTACGCCGGTGCATGTCCCTGAATAACTGCAAGTATTGAGTTGGGGATTACAAATAAATTTTAGCAAGCAGGCAAATTTGCAAACACAGAACCTTTAAATGAGATTGACTGTGTTGAAAAAAATAGAGACCACACGTTAGGTATACCTCAAGACCAGCACCCATAACCATATAGCCAAAACTAAGTCATCCTGATTTTCCTGAAATGCTAACTTTATTCATAAATGAAACAAAATGTAAGCTATATGTGTTAGTCCATTTTCATACTGCTATGAAAAAATACCCAAGACTGGGTAATTTATAAAGAAAAAGGTTTAATGGACTCACAGTTCCACATGGCTGGGAAGGCTTCATAATCATGGCAGAAGGCAAAGGAGGAGCAAAGGCATGTCTTACATAGTGGCAGGCAAGAGAATGTGTGCAGGGGAACTGCCCTTTATAAAACCATCAGATCTCGTGAGACTTACTGTCATGAGAACAGCATGGGAAAACCGGCCCCTGTGATTTAATTACCTCCCACCGGATCCCTCCCATGACATGTGGGGATTATGGGAGCTACATTTCAAGATGAGATTTGGGTGGAGAGACAGCCAAACCATATCATTATCATTTCTATTAGCATGAGACAGTGAAATGAAATCAATCAGCTATAGACAAGTCATCTTAAACAGCTCTCCTTGCCTTCAAAAGAATGTTAATATATAATAGCTCATCATGAAAAAGGTCAAAATACTCTCTCCTTCATGCTTTATAAACTGGGCTGTCACTGCTGTGAGTGGGGCTTCTTACCACCTATAGTTTCAGGTCTCCTGATTTGCAAACTGTTCTTTTGTATAAACTTGTACAGTTTTAAAATTTGATCTAATTTTATTTTATAATAACTGTTTTTAACAAACATTACTTAATACTTACATCAACTTCACAAAATGGATATTATTATGATGATCTCCATTTTATGGATAAGTCTGGGTGGGTGAGGAAATTGATCAAGCCCACATAACAAGTGGAAGAACCAAGATTAAGACCCCAGCTGTCTGTCTCTATTTAGCACACAATTACTCTATCACTGTCACCCCTCACCTGCCAATATATTGTAATGTTTGAAATGATTAGATCATGTGGCATTAGATGTGGAAAATTAGAACTGTTCATGGCTATTAATAGGACCTCAAAATTGAAAGTGAAAGCCAATTCATGTTGCTTGGGAGATTCTCCGCATTTTAGAGGCTTCATAGTCACAAAATGTCAGTCAATGGGTGCTAATGTGTTTCTATCATTTCATCAAGATTCATCTATTCACTGCAATGTAGCTAGAACCCATTTTTTGCAATGCTATGAAATACTGAACAAGAATAAATATAGAAATGTTTTATCAAAGATAATATTTTTGGTTTCAAGTTGACTGAGAAAGTAATAATATCATCTACTTACCAGTTTACGAAAATGGTAAAAATGTAAACAGAGAAATTCAAACTAGAAAAGCCACTCCAGGGGCCCTTGGATTCTTGCCATTTCTGTACCGGGATATAAACTTGCAACTTGGAACTTCAGTTTTATTTAACTGAAACAAACAAAGAAAACTGAGAGGATTCTGATCTTGTTATTTCTCTTCTTAAATGACTTTAGCTAACTTGTGGGAATGGGCTATGCTTTCCACTAATCTGATTCTACTTTTGCAAAGAAATCAATAAAGTATTTCAAAATTATAACAAAGATAATATGTTGATTCACTTTTGGGTAACAAAGCAGGCAGATATCTGTGGAGTTCTGCAAGAAACCACACAACAAACTTTGTATTAGAAATATAATCAGATGTAGCCAGCCCAAGTCGACAAGCAATTAATTTTGCTACTTAGACCTCTGGAGTCAGTGATCCATGAATTGGTATTCACTAGGTGGTTATTTAAATCTAATCTTTAAAACTTGGTGCAGTCCCTACCCATTAAAATATGAAAGATGATGATGACCAGAAGATATGGGTGTCTGGGATCATCAGTTTTAACTGGAATTATAGAGTCACTAAAATGAAAAGAACATAAGAGTCATAACCCCTTTTAATTCCTTTCCTCACTATGGTAACTGGTGAAGAAAAACTCACAGAACTCGAGATCAAATTCTGTGTGTGTGTGTTTGTGTGTGTGTGTGTGTGTGTGTGTATTTTAAAGGCAGCCCAAGCTTATTTTATTTATTTTCCAGCTTTATTGAGATATAATTGAAAAAAATTATATATATTTGCGGTGTAAAATGTGATATTTTGAGATGCATATACAATGTGAAATGATTTTCATGATTAAGGCAATTCACACATCCATCACCTCACATAGTTACCTGTGTGTGTGTTTGCGGGGTGGGGCGGGGGGCGGGATTGGTGAGAACATTTAAGATATACTGTCTTAGCAGATTTCAAGTATACGATAGATTATTAACTATAATCACTGTGCTCTATATTGTAGCTCCAGAAATTATTCATCTAGCATAACTGAAACTTTGTACCATTTGACTAACATCTCCCCATTTTCCCCACCCACTTGCCCCTGCCAACCACCATTCCATTCTCTGCTTCTATGAGTTTGACTTTTTAAGATTCCCATATAAGTGAGATCATGCAGTATTTGTCTCTCTGTGCTTGGCTTACTTCACTTAATGTACTCTAAATTCATTTATATTGTTGCAAATAACAGAATTTCATTCTCTTTTAATGCTACATAGTATTCCATTGTGTATATATACCACATTTTCTTTATCCGTTCATCTGTTGATGGATACTTAGATTGATTCCGTCTCTTGGGTATTGTGAATGGTGCTTTAATGAACATGGGGAGTACAGATATTTTTTGGAGATACTGATATTTCCTTTAGATATAGACCTAGAACCGGGATTGCTAAACCATATGGTAGTTCTATTTTTAAGTTTTGGGGAACCTCCACACTGTTTTCTACAGTGGCTATACTATTTTGCATTTCTACCAACACTGTAGAAGAGTTTCCTTTTCTCCACATCCTCACCAACCTCATCTTTTGTCTTTCTGATAATAGCCATTCTGGCAGGTATGAGGTGATATCTCATGCCTATTTTGATTTGTATTTCCCTGATGATTAGTGATGTTGAACATGTTTTATATACCTTTTGACCATTTGTATGTCTTCTTTTGAGAAATGTCCATTTTTTGCCCATTTTTAATTGGATTATTTGTTTTCTGGCTGAGTTGTTTAAGTTCCTTATATATTTGGGATAGGAATCCCTTATTAGATAAATGGTTTACAAATATTTTATCCATTTCTTATATTGCCTTTTCACTCAATTGATTATTATCTTAACTGCAGAAAGTCTTTAGTGTGATGTACTCCCATTTGTCTATTTTTGCTTTTGTTTCCTCATCTTTTGGTGTCATATTCAAGAAATCATTGCCAATATCAATGTCAAAAAATTTTTTTCCTCTTTTTCCTTTTAATAGTTTTATAGTTTCAGGTCTTACATTTAAGTATTTAATTCATTTTTGAATTAATTTTTTATATTGTGTGAGATAATGGTCCAAACTGCATATGGATATCTAGTTTTTCTAGCAGCATTTATTGAAGATACTTTCCTTTTCGCATTGTGTATTCTTGGCATGGTTTTTGAAGGTTAATTGACCTTAAAAGTGTGGATTTGCTTCTGGCTCTTATTCTGTTCTGTTGGTTTACGTATCTATTTTTGTGGTAGTGCCATGCTGTTTTGATTACCGTAACTCAGTAGTATATTTTGAAATCCGGTAGTGTAATGCCTCCAGCTTTGTTCTTGCTCAAGATTGCTTTAGCTATAGTGAGTCTTTTGTGTTTTCATATAAATTTTAGGATTGTCTTTTCTATTTCTGTATAAAAATGTCATTGGAGTTTTGATAGGGATTGCATTGAATCTGTAGATCACTTTGGGTAGTAGGGACATTGTAACATATATTTTTAATTATAAGTGATTCTAAAGAATGAACACTTGCTTTCAGGATGCAGAAGTTATGTGAATTTATTGTTTGATGACCTGATGGCAGAAGTTGTAAAGTGAAACCATCTGGATCTGATCAGCACATCTAATCCTAGGGAGAGCTCACTGAGTATTCAGTGTACATGCAGAGTTCCTACGAAGTTTAAGATGATGCTAGCACAGGAAAAAAACACAAGAAAATTGGCCCTGCAATCTAAATGTATTCATTTGAAAATGCAATATTTCAATTAGATTTGAAAGAGAGTCCTATTACTGCTGAAAAATACTTAAGGAAAATAAATTCAGCAACAGGACTCTGCCTTTTTCGAAATGAATTGTTTAGCTTAGTGCTAAGTTTATATGAGGGTATGAGTCAAATTTACAGGGACACTGGATTTAGTCACAGAGATTGAGGGTGTTACTTTATTATGTCTAAAAAAAAATGAAACAGCTGAAGTCTTTCTTCCTACTTAGAATCTTCATAGAGTAATTGTACAGCTTTAACAGGCTGTACAGGAGAGCAATAGTGCTAGATAAACAAATGATAGGTCTCTAATAGTTTGAAAGCTTAATCAGGTAGCTTTAAACAAAAGTGTATTCATATCTGGGTATCAGTGAAGGAAGGTCTGTAATGGAAATTACTGGCACCTCTTGCTTCTCCTATTAGCCCAGCAGTTCCACAAATCCTTATAAATATAAAGGTATAATATTACATATAAAACCTACACATGGTTTGCTTCAAACTGGTAAGTCACGAAAGAAAGATGCAGACATGTCTTCCCATTGGTGATGCCATTTCCCACTGCCTGTTATCAGGAATGTTTTCCATCCATTTTTTTCCAAGTTTGCCTCAATATATGAACACTGCTTTATAAAAGGAAAATTACAGTAAGATGTACTTGTATTTCTTATTAGCTCAGCTTTATGATTGTATTGTAATTATTGGTTTAGTTTTTAAGAAATTGTGAACCAGGAAGTTCATAAGATAATCAGAGCTCTGTGTCACTCATACAGATTACTTTTTCCTTCATTTAATTTTCACTTAAATATTTTATATGTATGCTTTCTAGTGTAATCATTTAATAAAGACTCATAGAATGCTTACTATGTAAATTTGCTAAATTTAGCAAATAAAATACAGGACACACAGTCAAATTTAAATTTCAGTTAAACAATAAATATGTTTTTAGTATGTCGTAAATATTGCAATATTAAATAATTCTTCATTGGCTATATGAAATATAAATTTAACTTGGCATCCTCCTTTCTGTCTGGCAATCATATTATCTACAGGAAAAGGATCATCCTAGGAGCTCAGAAGGATACAAATAAAAATTTCGTTTCTGTACTACCTTGAAAGAAATATGTCTATAGATTAAGATAGGAAGTAATAATAATTCCCCAAGGTATATATAGGTAAAATCGAAGGACCCAAAGAGAAATAAGTATTTGGAAAGGAATGTATTTAAATCCGTGAGTTTTTAAAATTTTGCTAACATATGCTATATAAAAAAGAGTAGTAGGAAGTAAAGGTGAGGTTGGGAATTATACCAGGCCCAGAGATTTAAAACTGATGCTCTGGATAAGTGTCTTTTGATAGAAAAATAATGGGAAGCAGTAATGCAAATCACAGATGTAATTTATAATTCTCTAGTAGCCACATTAAGAAATGTAAAAGAAGTAAGTTAAATTAATTGTAATAATATGTTTTATTCAACTCAACGTATCCAAAATATTATCATTTCCACATGTAATCAATATAAAAATTGTTGATGCAGTAATTCTTTTTAAAATAACTATTCAAAATCTGCTGTGCATTTTACACTTTCAGGGTATTTGAATTTGGACCAGCCACATTTCAAGTGATCAGTAGTCACGTGTGGCTACTGACTGACTTGTTGAATGGCACAGCTCTTGAGAGTAAGGATCTGCTCATAGTTTGTTAACGAAAGAGTCATGGGATCAGAGTGGAGCTTCAGATTTGCGATAGTATTACATGAGATAGATGGAGGGGGAGAAATTGGGCAGGGAGAGAACATTTAATAGGCTATTCCAGTAATGCATTAAATTGAAAGAAAAGTCGACCTATTATGGTAAATAGAAAAGGGGATCAGGGAACGTACAGATGGGGATGATGTTTACTAATGCTTATTATATACACTATTTTACTCTCAGGCCTGTGTGGACAGAAGTAGAAAACAGAGGAGGCATTGCTTCTGATCACTAAGAATGCCACCCAAATGGAGAAAGCCACACAGCAGTCAAAAGATATTCAAAATGCATATATTAATATGTAGGGGAAATAAGCAAAAGTTTTGCTGGAAAGGATTCTTCCTAAAATTTTTCACTTTTTCCCAGTTTCTGGAGCTAAACACAGAAAGATTAGTTTTAATAGAACAGAAATGTCTTAAACTTGGTTTGGTACTGACAACCTAAAACACAGAATTCTACTTTAAAATACAGAATTCTATTTTATGGGAATTTGTAAACTGAGAAAAACAATTTTTAGTATTACAGGAGCAGAGAAGGGACTACATTACTGAACCTGCCGTGGAATCAGAAATTTAAATATGTTTCAGGACGCTTTTTTTTTTTTTGCTGGAAAAATATTTCCATGCGAGTTGTTGGGAAAATAAGATTCTAGCTACAATGCTTCATACACATACCTTTTAATGAATGAATCCTGCCCTTAGCCGGGCTCCTGTGTATAAACCAATATATTTGAGAGGCTCTTTATTGTTTCAGAGTCTTTCTCATCCATTATCACATATGATTTTTTTCCCAATAACTCCTGAGACACAGCATTGTTGCCTACATTTTTTAGATGAGAAATGAGACTGAGAGGAGGAGTAACTTGTCTTAAATCACAGAGCTCACGGTCCAGGTGAGAAATAAAAATCCCAGACATTTGTATCCAAGTCTTAATCTTTGGTAGTACACCATAATAGATGGGAAGACTAATAAATTGGGAATTAGCCATGTCTCTAGTTATAGGCAAACAGAATATTCACCTATATATAGCCATGTCTCTAGTTACAAGCAAACAGAAATCTAGGTGAATATTCTGAGGTAAATGGTCTCACCAGTTCACTTCCTTCTGGTTTTTTCTCCTACACACTCACACTTGTTCATCTTCATGTCTAACATTTAAGAATTCATCTGCTCTTGGCTGCTTAAATCTATGAATGGAACATGTGGACATGTAAAGCCATCAACTCAGAAAAATGTAGTTCTCACAGTGATTCATTTGATAAATATGTTAATACCTATTATGATAAATAGGTTAACACCTATTATGATAAATAGGTTAATACCTATTATGCACTTAGCACAGTGCCCAACACACAGTAAGTGCTCAAGTTTATCTAGTATCATTAACATTTGAGGTAAAGGAAATGCCAAATTATGTAATTAATGTGTGTGAAAGTAGTTTAAAAACAATAAAACAATGTACAAATAAAGATATTATTATAATGAGGCAATTGGGCAGGGCGCGGTGGCTCAGGCCTGTAATCCCAGCACTTTGGGAGGCCGAGGCGGGTGGATCACGAGGTCAGGAGATCGAGACCATCCTGGCTAACACGGTGAAACCCCGTCTCTACTAAAAACAAAAACAAAAAAATTAGCTGGGCGTGGTGGCGGGCGCCTGTAATCCCAGCTACCGAGGAGGCTGAGGCAGGAGAATGGCGTGAACCCGGGAGGCGGAGCTTGCAGTGAGCGGAGATCGCGCCACTGCGCTCCAGCCTGGGCCACAGAGCAAGACTCTGTCTCAAAAAAAAAAAAAAAAAAAAAAGAGGCAAGTGATTATTTAATAGACATAGAGTTTCAAATTTGCAGTATGAAAAGTTCTGGAGATCTGTCTCACAACAATGTGAATATACTTAACACTACTGAACTGTTCACTTTAAAATAGTTAAGATGGTAAATTTTATCTTACGTGTTTTTGTATCACATTAAAGAGAAATGCAACACAGTTGGGGAATAAATTATTAGGGATTTGGTTATAAATCATGTTATTGATTAACATATTATCAGTTATCCTTTCCCCCAGTAGCCATCAAATTTGCACTAAATTCTCTTGCTCTGTTCTTCCACAGTCATTTTAATTTGGGATAATCAAGTGTCACAGACCTATTGACTACTACAACCATTCTATTTGTAGTCATTAAAAATATTGAAAAGAAAATAGAATCATCGCTCTGTAAATAGAAAACCACACCAGGAAATTGCTCTCATTCAAAAAACACTGCTAATATGAGAAACAACTAAAAGCACTGACACAAGTTCTCAGGCTCTGAGAAAAAATGTAAGTAGATGAGAGCTCATGGTCCAAGTCAGAAATAAAAACCCCAGGCATTTGTATGAACTCATGAAAATCAGACATGCTGCTTATTAAGAAATGTAATATGGAAACTCTTCATTGCTATTTAATTCTATTTTTAATGCATTTCATAGGATTCTTGTTTCATAGCTTTGGCCGTATGAGGCCATGTAGTTTAATATAGACTGGAAAAGAGTCAGATGCTTTACCTATAGGATGACAAGTAGTTAGACATTTCAGATACAAATCATTAATTAATGGATATTTGACCCATGTAGACCAATACTGTTACTTTCCTTAGCCTATCTAGACAATTGTAAAACAATGTATGCAGAGAAAGAAGCAATGTAAATTGCTAGGTACATAGTTTCTTTAATATTAATAAATTTTAAGAATATTTGTCAAAATCAATATCATCCTTTTCTTTTGCTATCTACCAGAGCTCTTGTAAGATGAAATGCAGACAAGAGCATGCCAGGGACCCAGCTTGTTGGGAAGCTTCTGATTCTCCATTAAATAGGTCCATTTAATGTGGACCATAGGACTTCACATTGGTCTCCTTTAATATGTTGGATTGTTTCTTTAGTGTATGCCCCTGAGCCTGAGGAGTTTATAAATGATCTTCTGAATAGGAAAAAATGGGAGATTCAACTTTCGTATGCTGTAGTCTGATTTCCTAAGAGGCAGGTATTTAATTTTGCTGAAGTGTCCTGATCCACATTATTTGACTAAATGAGAAAGCAAAATATTTGACGGGACAATAAGAGTATTATATATATATTATTTCTTGACATTTTGCACTGATTTGGGATTACATCTGCAATTTTTTGCTCAATATAGTCAGTATGTATATTGTGTGGGGCTACACCCATAGAAATAAATTTATATACCCATGATCCTAAGAGAAGTCTGAAGCCGTTAGCAGTCTACATGAATGCATGATGACTGCAGTAACATATATTTATCCCACAAGTGAGGAGAGAATTGATTACTCTAGAGAACTAAAGCCATAACTAATTCACAGAGACTCTTTCTTATGATGAGGATAAATATTCTGTGTCATTCTGACCCATAAAATATACTGTTTTTATAGCAGACTCATTGTAATAATTCATCTTAAATGTCTTATGGACATATTTTCCTATGATTTCCAAATAGGAATCATTGGACGTTCTTGTTTTCAAAATAAGTTTAGGGATTAAAAATAATAAGTAGCTTTAAGTAACATTGTTATACTTGCTTCAGAAATAAAGAGATATAATGTTGTGTACATTATATGTTCCCTTCTTGATATTTATCAAAAATAACTTATTGGTGCACATTCACGGGTATTTTGCATATTCACAGTTATTCATGGGTATTTTTTGCATATTATGGCTTGCTTCAGAAACTGAAGGTGTATATAGGAGACTCTATTTGCAAATGAACAAATAGGCAATAAGCTAATCCCCCAGTGTGACATTTTACTTCAGGTAAAAATTACTTCCTATTTCTTCTCATCTACTGCTGCGCCAATTTGAAACTAGTTTTTTATTAAAAGGTAAAGGTATTTGCTTACTTTTATAAATGCATTGACACTTTTTTGAGTCTATTATAAAAGTTTGCTATTTTATCTTTTTTTATTGGAAGGCTGATGGAAGATAGGAGTACACTGAGGATCTTGGGACCGGGCTCTTATGAAAGGGTTAGAACAAACCATTTTGCTTTTGGTTGATGTAAATTATCAGGTGGCTTAGAACATATTTGTGTCTTGTATATTATGTTTAATGTTGGCAAGAAGGAAAGATTAAAGTATGATTTTAAATGGCATGAGTTAGAAATGTTGGTGTTGATATTTTCTTAGACTTGTGGACTTCACTTAATTCTTAGCCAGCATTAGAATTAATAGAAACTGCAGATACTTGAGGGTAGAGGGTGGGAGGAGGGAGAGGAGCAGGAAAGATAGCTATTGGCTACTGTGCTTAATACCTAGGTGATGAAATAGTCTGTACATGAGTACATGGGTTTACCTATGTAATAAACCTTCACATGTACCCCTGAACCTAAAATAATTGTTAATAAGAAACTGCAGATATTCGTTGATATAATGTTCCATATTTACAGATGAAGACAATCAGACTCAAATAGGTTAAGCTGCCCAAAGTCACAGAGATAATTCAACATAAATGAAGAAGAAAGCTAAGCAAATAGAGTTTTTATTCTTTTTGTTTATTTGAGGGAAATGGGGTAGCAAAGGAAAAAATCAAAGTAGCTGTATGAAATTTTTGAATACGTAGAATTTCTTCACATTTCAGTGTTTAATACATTACTCTAAAGGGGCAAACATACTATTTTCCTTTATCTAAATGAAGCCAAGATTGTTATAATGTCCAGAAATATAAAGAAAAGGACTGGAAAGATAGATATTAGGTTCTGCATGGCTAGATTTGGGGTCACTTCAACAAAGACTGGCTTTTTAATAGTATCAGCCCACATCTCCCAGTCCTAGAACCTTGCAGAGCTTCCTGTGGTTTCGCCTTTGGAGTTCAGTGTTTGGATGGTCACCTTCAGGCTAGTACTTTCTAGGGATCTGAACTTATTGAGCTGAGTCACTTGGTTTGGTCCAAATGGTCACTTGCAAGGCCGGTTAAAATCTATGTTTCCATCTATCTCTGAATTAGTGGGTGATAGAAAGTAGCCTGGGTGAATTCTTTAATTCTTTTACTTATTGACTGTTGACTCTTATTGGCCTTTTTCTGTATATAGCAATAATGCTAATGATAATAATTTCTTTGGAAATACGTGAACCATTCTTAGTCCTCAGAGTATTTCTACAAGACCATTTATGTTGATTCTCACCATAACAGTTTGAGAGTGTAAACGAAGATATACTGGGGGATATTACAGTCAATAGGTTGAAAGAATTACAAGAGGTCATTCATTTATTAAGCAGCTGCTAAGCACTGGTCATTGCGTCAGGCAAACTGGTTAATGTTGAAGCCAGGACAGAACCTACAGTCTGTGATCTGGGTCTCACTTCTCTCAGCCCTTCTCTCCCTTTTCTCTTGCTTCTCTTTCTTTCTGCCCATGCAGTGCAGCAGCTTTCCCTAGGGCCTATTTACCAGGCTTCTGTTTTAAACTATACATTATTTGTTCTCAGTTCAAGGTTAGCAGATCTTGTCCACATCCCTGTGGGAGAACCTAATAAGCTCAGGTGAAGCGCAGCTCAACATTGGGAACAACAGTAAATGTTTGCACCATTAAAGGTACTGAATTGTTCCATGTTATCAACAGCAGCCTTTCAGTCATACTCATCTGAAAAATGAAGCCTCTCTGAAAATCACCACTTGAACTTATGTCCATGGACTGTGATCACCTGTAGCCCTATCTGTAAGCCATCTGAAGTCCAGTGTCTGTGTTGTATGTGATTTCATCTCAGTAGAGTGCAGTTTAGCACCTTATTTTGTCATGTATAGAACTCTAATATATTAAACAAATAATAAAAGTGGAACTCCCTCATAAATGATTTAGATATTCTCCTTATATGAAAGGTCTTATAGTAACAGATAATTTGTTCAACAGCAACTGTGTTTTGAATAATGCAGGGAAAGAATGCTTCCTCCATTTTGAACTGATGATGAATATATCTGTGAGTGAAAAAGCAATAATAAAAGGTGGATCCTGGATTCTTCTCTATGCCATCTCTAAAATGTAAATGTTTGTTGATTAAATGCATCTTATTTGGGAACCAAAAAAAAAAACCAAGCAAATATTGGTTTTCATGAGTCATGTGCTCATATTCCAAATGCAGAATAGAAAGTTTATGGAAAGACTCAAATATTGCTGTTTACCTTTATTATGCAAAACACTGTGAGTTGTTTTTTCTTCATTTGTTAATGCAAAAACACTGATTTAAAAAAATGAGACAATGGAATGAGCAATTATCAAATGGTTTTTGCAAAATGCATTTAAAATCTACTTTTTAAAAATGATTCATTTGAAGCATATTAAAAGGTACACATAATAAATATATTATTATACCATTATATAATAATTATACCATTATACTAGTGGCTTCATGCTACGCTTACTATATGAACTGGCAGCAGGGAATAAAAATTTATCTTGGTGCTTCTTATCTTTTTCTTTTCTGGTAATTTTAAGTCACTTTCTGTTGTTATTCTTTAATAAATAGTCTAGGTAAGCAGCCAGGACTCTCCCAAAGCTGTGTTTAGGTAGGAAGAATACATGTTACTGACAAAAGTGTCAAGTGAGTTAGTTAAACAAGTCTTGGACATTTCCATCCCCTATTCTATAATCCTCCCCTGGGTGCCTAGCCCTGTAACCTTATGTGGCTCTCCAGGGGCCTACTTTTAAGACCTTCCCCCAAACCCACTCTTCCAATGCAAACTTTCCTTCCCAAGGCTTTCTGTGGTCCATTAACCAACATGGGCCTGTTTTCTGACCCTTTTTTTTTTTTTAATTTCATCCTGGACCTAGCTAAAAACTAAGCCTTGTTAATAAGCCAGTGATGAGTTCCTGCATTATGCATCCTCAGTAAGACATAAATGTACATTATAGGAAACAGCCTTATGATTTTTATCTTATTTATACTTGCTTTGTGTGTCTATTTAGGAAAAAAAGATAATATAAGATGGTACGATATTCCCAGTATAACACTATGTATTTCAGGTGACAGAAAGTAGAGTTATGTTTTCCTTTTTAAATGAAAATAGAATATTAAAATGAGAGTCAGAGGACCTGAGCCCTACTCTCAGCTCTGCCACTAACAGGCTTTGTAATCTCATACAACTTAATTAGTTATGTATCTCCCACAAGATTTTTAATTTCTTTTTTTGTTATTATTATACTTTAAGTTCTAGGGTACATGTGCACAACGTGCAGGTTTGTTACATATGTATACATGTGCCATGTTGGTGTGCTGCACCCATTAACTCGTCATTTACATTAGGTATTTCTCCTAATGCTATCCCTACCCACTCCCACCATCCCACAACAGGCCCCGGTGTGTGATGTTCCCCTCCCTGTGTCTAAGTGTTCTCATTGTTCAATTCCCACCTATGAGTGAGAACATGTGGTGTTTGGTTTTCTGTCCTTGCAATAGTTTGCTGAGAATGATGGTTTCCAGCTTCATCCATGTCCCTACAAAGGACATGAACTCATCCTTTTTTATGGCTGCATAGTATTCCATGGTGTATATGTGCCACATTTTCTTAATCCAGTCAATCATTGATGGGCATTTGGGTTGTTTCCAAGTCTTTTCTATTGTGAATAGCCCCGCAGTACAAATACATGTGCACGTGTCTTTATAGCACCATGATTTATAATCCTTTGGGTATATACCCAGTAATGGGATCACTGGGTCAAATGGTATTTCTAGTTCTAGATCCTTGAGGAATTGCCACACTGTCTTCCACAATAGTTGAACTAGTTTACACTCCCACCAACAGTGTAAAAGTGTTCCTATTTCTCCACATCCTCTCCAGCACCTGTTGTTTCCTGACTTTGAATGATCACCATTCTAACTGGTGTAAGATGGTATCTCATTGTGGTTTTGATTTGCATTTCTCTGATGAGCAGTGATGATGAGCATTTTTTCATGTGTCTGTTGGCTGCATAAATGTCTTCTTTTGAGAAGTGTCTGTTCATATCCTTTGCCCACTTTGTGATGGGGTTGTTTGATTTTTTTCTTGTAAATTTAAGTTCTTTGTAGATTCTGGATATTAGCCCTTTGTCAGATGGGTAGATTGCAAAAATTTTCTCCCATTCTCTAGGTTGCCTGTTCACTCCAATGGTAGTTTCTTTTGCTGTGGAGAAGCTCTTTAGTTTAACTAGATCCCATTTGTCTATTTTGGCTTTTGTTGCCGTTGCTTTTGGTGTTTTAGTCATGAAGTCCTTGTCCATGCCTATGTCCTGAATGGTATTGCCTAGGTTTTCTTCTAGGCTTTTTATGGTTTTAGGTCTAACAGTTAAGTCTTTAATCCATCTTGAATTAATTTTTGTACAAGGTGTAAGGAAGGGATCCAGTTTCAGCTTTCTACATATGGCTAGCCAGTTTTCCCAGCACCATTTATTAAATAGGGAATTGTTTCCCCATTTCTTGTTTTTGTCAGGTTTGTCGAAATTCAGATGGTTGTAGATGTGTGGTATTATTTCTGAGGGCTCTGTTCTGTTCCATTGGTCTATATCTCTGTTTTGGTACCAGTACCATGCTGTTTTGGTTACTGTAGCCTTGATAAACTAGGTATTGATTGGACATATCTCAAAATAATAACAGCTATATATGACAAACCCACAGCCAATATCATACTGAATGGGCAAAAACTGGAAGCATTCCCTTTGAAAACTGGCACAAGACAGGGATGCCCTCTCTCACCACTCCTATTCAACATAGTGTTGGAAGTTCTGGCCAGGGCAATTAGGCAGGAGAAAGAAATAAAGGGTATCAATTAGGAAAAGAGGAAGTCAAATTGTCCCTGTTTGCAGATGACGTGATTGTATATCTAGAAAACCCCATCGTCTCAGCCCAAAATCTTAAGCTGATAAACAACTTCAGCAAAGTCTCAGGATACAAAATCAATGTAGAAAAATCACAAGCATTCTTATACACCAACAACAGACAAACAGAGAGCCAAATCATGAGTGAACTCCCATTCACAATTGCTTCAAAGAGAATAAAATACCTAGGAATCCAGCTTACAAGGGATGTGAAGGACCTCTTCAAGGAGAACTACAAACGGCTGCTCAACAAAATAAAAGAGGACACAAACAAATGGAAGAACATTCCATGCTCATGGGTAGGAAGAATCAATATCATGAAAATGGCCATACTGCCCAAGGTAATTTATAGATTCAATGCCATCCCCATCAAGCTATCAATGACTTTCTTCACAGAATTGGAAAAAACTACTTTAAAGTTCATATGGAACCAAAAAAGAGCCCGCATTGCCAACACAATCCTAAGCAAAAAGAACAAAGCTGGAGGCATCACGCTACCTGACTTCTAGATTTTTAATTTCTTAAGGGTAGAACTGAAGCACATAATCCCAGTACTGTGGGAGGCCGAGGCAAGAGGATCACTTGAGCCCTGGAGTTCAAGACCAGCCTAGGCAACATAGCAAGACCCCGTATCTACAAAAAATAAATTTAAAAATTATCTGGATGTAGTTTGTTGCACCTGCAGTCCCAGCAACTCAGGAGTCTGAGATGGGAGGATTGCCTGAGCCCAAGAGTTTGAGGCTGCAGTGAGCCATGATAGAGCCACTGTGCTCCAGCCTGAACAATAGAGCAAATAGAGCAAAATATCCTGTTTCAAATAAAAGGATAGAATTGATGTTCATTCATATTTATCTCCAACAGTGATTAGCATAATACCATTTACATAATAGATCTTCAATATACAGATATCTCCCATGATTTTCAGGCAAATGGAGAATTAAGGTGGACCTTAGGAGAGAAGTCAAAGCCAAAAATGTAAATTTTTGTGTTATCAGCATAGAGGTATAACCTCAGGACCTTTGAAATGGACAGGCTGAAGGAAGGTGAGAGAGAGCATATGGGAAGTGAAAACATTAAATTCAGGAACTTTGGAGCCACAAAAGTTTAGGGCGTGGTTGGAAGAAGAAAAGAAAATTAATTAGATTTTAAAGCACAACAATTAAATAGAAAGCAAACCAAGATAGTACAATATGTGGAGGGCAAGAGAGGAGATCATTTGGAATGGTGAATCTTTACCGGGACAGTTTTGCCCCCTAGGAACATTCAGCAATGTCTGGAAACAGAAACACAACCCAGTGGGTGTTAATGCCCACTGTAGGTAGGGGCCAGGGATGCTGCTAAGCATCCTACATTGAAAAGGGTAGCTCCCACGACCAAGAGTTATCCAGCTATCCTACATTGGAAAGGGTAGCTCCCACGACCAAGAGTTATCCAGCTATCCTACATTGGAAAGGGTAGCTCCCACGACCAAGAGTTATCCAGCTATCCTACATTGGAAAGGGTAGCTCCCACGACCAAGAGTTATCCAGCTATCCTACATTGGAAAGGGTAGCTCCCACGACCAAGAGTTATCCAGCTATCCTACATTGGAAAGGGTAGCTCCCACGACCAAGAGTTATCCAGCTATCCTACATTGGAAAGGGTAGCTCCCACGACCAAGAGTTATCCAGCTGAAGATGTCAATACTGCCAAGTGTGAGAAATCACAATGTGTAAGGTCATGGTCAACAGTGTTAGATGCCCTAAGAATCTGAGAAAAGGTTACATTATTTGGTAATTAGTGGTGACTTTTTTGAAAAAGTTTCTCTACATTATGAAAGGATAACGTTGGTGAAAGTGGGTAGCGAGACAGAGTTTACAAGACATGATGATTTCTGAGAAGTTGGAAAGTAAGGTGGAAGGGTTATTTTGTTTCTAAGAATCAAAGAGACTTGACCCTGTTTCCATATTAAGAAGAGTTAAGAGAGTGAGGGAAGTGAGGGAGGATGGGAAGGAGAGAGGGAGGGAAAGAGATTAAAAGTGTGAAAAAGAGACGAGCAATGCATATTATTTCCTTATAATAATAAGGAAAGTAAAGGTTAAGAGTGCAGAAAAGAGTTGGAGAAGATCGTTTTGAGGATGAAAAAGGAAGGGATAGGTAAATGAATGGAATTTTAAAATGCAGAGATACTGGAGAAGTTCACAAAAGATGACCTTTCTCAGTGAAGTAGTAAAGTATAAATGGCCGAGATTAAAAGAGGAGAGATTGGCAACTAGAAAACAAATTGATAGCAGTCTTCCTGGAAGATGGATAAGGAATAGGCTGGTGATGACTGAAAGTTTTATGGAATGATGTTGAAAACTCAGCTGACTTTGGAAAGCATAAGTAGTGGGTTCAGTCATCACATTTAAAGTGGTTCCTCTAGAAATGCCTAGTAGACAAAAGAAAAGGAAAGCAAACACAGATGTTCAGCCGGACTAAGGGTGAGGAGTTGGCAAGACCCAACTGTGGTATCAGATCAAGGGCATGAAAGGAGCAAAAAAAGACGCAGTTGAAAGGGTGCACCGTGTTTTGGGGCCGGGTCATGAGGACTCTCAGCTCAGAGGAAGGGAAGCTGGTAAACTGGGGAACGGAGGGACTGAAGAAGTGAAAATATTGCAGAGGGCAAATAGCTGATCCAATTTTAGGTGATGAGGAGAATAAAGTTGTTTCACTGTGGGGAACCTTCTGCAGTAAAGCGGCATAAAAGTTGCCAGAAAGGAAAAAAATGTCATTTTTCCGGAGTCTCTGTTTTTAAAGTTAGGAACTGTCCTTGCCTTCAGGCATCTTAAAGGGAAAATATTCTGTGAGTTATTTCTACATTTGCTGGCCTGTGTTGATCATTTTCTTCAGATATTCACAACTCTATAATATGTAGGCAATCCATTCTTTTTGGGCTCAAATATAGACTTAGTCCAGAATCTATACTTCACTCTACTCCTTACTAGATAAATAACCTCAGGCAAGACATTTCACCAACCTTTTTCTTTTTCTATTTCTTTCTCTTTTTTTTTTTTTTTTCCACCTGCAAGATGGGACTCATGAGTTCTAGCTTCCGAGGCTGTCCTGAGGATAAATCATGTACAACTATAAAATATGTTAGGTTTAAAATTAGCAAGAAAAAAACAAACAATCCCATCAAAAAACAGGTTAAGGACATGAATAGACAATTCTCAAAAGAAGATACACAAATGACCAGCAAACATGTGAAAAAATGCTCAACATCACTAACGATCAGGGAAATGCAAATCAAAACCACAATGTGATACCACCTTACTCCTGCAAGAATGGCCATAATAAAAAAAATTTTAAAAAATAGATGTTGGCATGGATGCAGTGAAAAGGGAACAATGTACACTGCTTGTGGGAATGTAAACTAGTACAGCCACTATGGAAAACAGTGTGGACATTCCTTAAATAACTAAAAGTAGAACTACCATTTGATCCAGCAATCTCACTTCTGGGTATCTACCCAGAAGAAAATAAGTCATTATTTACAAAAGATACTTAAACATGCATGTTTATAGTAGCACAATTCGCAACTGCAAAAATGTGGAACCAGCCCAAATTCCCATGAATCAACAAGTGGATGAAGAAACTGTGGTATATATGTATAATGGAATACTACTCAGCCATAAAAAAGGAATGAATTAATAGCATTCACAGCAACCTGGATGAGATTGGAGACTATTATCCTAAGTGAAGAAACTCAGGAATGGAAAACCAAACATTGTATGTTCTCACTCATAAATAGGAGCCAAACTATGAGGATTCAAGGGCATAAGAATGGACTTTGGGGACTCAGGGAAAAAGGGTGGGAAGGGGACGAGGGTTAAAAGATTACCAATTACGTTCTTGTATGCTGCTTAGGTGACGGGTGCACCGAAATCTCACAAATCACCACTAAGGAACTTACTCATGTAACCAAATGCCACCTATTCCCCAAAAACCTATGGAAATAAGAAATTTTTAAAAAATACATTAGGTACCAGGTGCAGTGGCTGACGCTTTTAATCCCAGCACTTTGGGAGGCCAAGGCGGGTGGATCAACTGAGGTCAGGAGTTCAAGACCAGCCTGGCCAACATGGTGAAACCCTGTCTCTACTAAAAATATAAAAAATTAGCTGGGCATGGTGGTCCATGCCTGTAATCCCAGCCACTCAGGAGGCTGAGACAGAAGAATCACTCGAACCTGGGAGGTGGAGGTTGCAGTGAGCCAAGATGGCAGCATTGCACTCCAGCCTGAGCAACAAGAGCGAGACTCCGTCTCAAAAAAAAAAACAAAAAAAAAAAGTTTTTTTAATAATTTAAAAGATTCATATTTTTCTATTCTCATCTGTATTAGTGGCCTCACTGGTGGCCAATCTTCTGCCTGACTTACCACCTGTTATTCTTCAACCAGCAGAAAATCCTATTCTGCCCGAGTTTTATTTTTCAAATAAGATCACCTTTATTATGTTTCCCCTTTCTTTAAACTACAGTGTTTCTCCTCTAAACATCAAATGTAAAAGCTTTACATCCCCTTGGGAAAATTGCTTAACTATGTGAAATTCTGATTTCCCCTCACATGGCCTTGCAGGATGTTTGCAATAAGCAGAGATCGTTTGCATAAAGGGCCTAGCGTTATGACTGTCATGAATGAGTGCCCAGTGGATGGGTGCTATGGCAGCAGAGATTTTACAAGGATGACAGAATTCTTGTAACAATCCCCAAACCTCATTTCCCCAAGCATAACTTTATTGGATTCTTGGTAATCTATCACTTGTTATTATTATCATGGAGACTAATCATAAACTGATTTATGGTTTCAATCAGTTTTTTTCTGGTCCTCACTAGATGGTATATTTCTTAAGACAGAAACTAGGTTTAAATTCTAAACTATATTTCAAGACTATTTTAGTCTACAATGAAGATTCAATGACTACTTATCCTAAAGTATGGCATGACAGACAGCATCATACCACCTAGATATTAATGAGAAGAAAAACAAACGTCTTAAGTAGTTGTCGAATTCAGTAAGCAAAAACGCTACTATTTCTGGAAACAGGGTCTGCTATTCAGTTACAGGAGTCTTTTCGAATGTAGTCAGTATGGTACCTACAAACCATGATTTGTGTGTATTATGGACAAAAATTCATCATAATTCTAATAGAATGATTTTAAAGCCAAGTCAGCTTGGAGTATTTATACAGCTTGTATTTACTTTTGCTAAAATAATTGAATTTGTAACAATTATAAGGCTGCCCAGATCTCTTTAGTGATGAGTATTGATTATTACACTCAGAAGCTTTCCCTCATTAAAAATAAAGTGTTCTAGTCATTGTGGCTCCATCAACAGACCTTAGTGTCATTGTTACAGTAATCATGTGCTTGATGGATATATTGGGACCTCTTTAAAGCTTCAGTTGTAACATAATGATTTGCAAAGCTTTCAAAAGTTAATTATCTTGAGTGTCCCAGATAAAAACAAATGTTTCATCACCCTGGACTAAAAAAAAAAAAAAAAAAAGAAAAGAAAAAAAGCTGTAGTGATAGGCAAGGGTCACCATAGGAAGAGCATCTGCAGAAGTCTTAATGACTTCTTGTCTGTGATTCAGAGTCCAGTGGGATACGAGCGTAGAAAATTATTCAGATATTTGGGGTGACAAATATCTGAGTAAATGTGAAATCATTGTCAAGGAGTAGTGGAAGATGAGATCAAGAAGGGCCAGGTTATAGAAAACCATGACTTCCAGGAGAGGCATGTAGAATTATGGAGTACTCAGTAGAGAACACAGATGGTTCCTAAACAGGGGACTAATACCTTAATTTAGAAAAACCTATCTGCCTATTATAGTAAGTGAAGTAGAGTAGAGGGTGGAGGACTGTGTGAGGTTGAAAATGGGGCCGAAGGGAGATCTTGAGGCAAGTAGAACAGTAGGAGAAAGATTTGATAGATGCCTGGCAAAAATTCATAAGGGAGTGATCCTTTAAGACAGAATGGAGGAGGGGTTAGAAAATAACAGAGGAGATTTTTGAGGTGTATGTGGCTATGTTAGGTGAGTGATCAAATGTAAGGCAGGGAAGGCTGGAGTCAAAGAAAACATTGAGGCTTGAAGTTTGGGTAATGTTTAAATAATTAATGGAATTAGTTAAATTAAAAATAAATCATTTAATAGTAACTGATGTTATAAAAGATTTAGATGTGTAGAAGTGAAAATACTAGCAGAAAAACCAAATAGAAATATTCATCAGTGTTAAGCTATATATTATTCGACAGTACATTTCTCTTTGTGAAAATGTACAAGAATTTTTGTTTATTTATTTTTACCATGGAATTACTGGCTCATAAAATATGACATTTTCAATTTTATTTGATAGTGCTGACTTGTTCTCTGGAGCAGTTGTACAAATATAAGTTTCCCTTAGCTCTTTATGAGTTTTACTTCTCCAATGCTTGTTGTGTTACTTACATTTTGAACATTGCGCTAACAGCATCTAATTAGATAGCATTTCCCTGATTGCTGATAAAAATGAGCATCTTTTTCATATGTTTAATAGTAATTCAGAGTCCCTGTTCTCTAAATATCCTATTCATATTCTTTGCCCATTTTTTCTATTATATTTTGTTTTTTCTCGTTGTTATTGTAGGTGTTCTTTATAGAATATGATGCTACTCTTTTGCAAGTATGTTTTTCCCATCTGTCTCTTTTAATTTCACATATGTTCCTCTGTTTCTGAAATGTAAATCTGATTATATTGCCTAGGTAAGGGAGGGAGAGCATTAGGACAAACACCTAATGCAAGCAAGGCTTAAAACCTAGATGATGGGCTGACACGTGCAGCAAACCACCATGGCACATGTATTACTATGTAACAAACCTGCACGTTCAGCACATGTATTCCAGAACTTAAAGTAAATATAATAATAATAATAATAATAATAATAATAATAATAATAAACTTCTTAATTTAAAAAAACTCTATTTACTCATGGACATTTTATCCTACAAGATTCACCTGATATGTCAGTGCTCCTGTGAATTATTCTCTGATTTCTTATGTGAAAGATCTGTCTTTCCTTTCTTCTTCCTTATGTACTTTGTACTCCATAATATAGAATCATTATAGCACTTCTGACAATTGATCGTATTGGTTTATTTACATGACAGTCTAGATTGTAAACTCCTTGATGGTTTTCTTCACCTTAGTACTCCCAGAAGCTGGCCCAGGGTCCAGGATAGAATGGGTATTCAGTAATTGCTTTTTGATGTGAATTCCCTTTGAAAAAGGAAGATACCATTTACACTTACTTCTGAGAGATTTTCACCTTTTTGAAGCCGTGGACCCTGTCTCTCTCACTCATACTCATATTCCACTATGATGTCAATCCTCACATAAGAGATGCTGAATTAACATAACCATGATCTCCAGCTAATCAACACACTTGAACCACTGTTTTTCTTTACTCTTCCCAAGAAAAGTAAACATCGTAAAGAAAATAATTTTCATCTATACATCTTTAAAATTGTCATTAAAAGGTAAATATATTCACTAGACATTTGCTGTAACTTTTAGAAAAAACTAAAATGTCGATTACAGACTTTGGTATTGCCATGTTTTTTAATGAAGATGATTAAAATAACTTTGGTAAATAACTCCAAAGTAATTTAGTAAGTTTCTACTCAAAATGTATTTGAGATTCAAATATATGCCTAGAGGGCTACCAATTCACAAAAATATATTGTTATTTCATTTGCTAAAGTACAGTTCTTCAAATTCTTAACAATCTACCGCCTTCCTTGTAATGTGCTAGGGTGACCTAATTTGTTGGCAGCCTCCGCTAGGATGTGGTAGTGAGGTTGATCTCTGGAATTCGCACACACACTCATTAACCAGATGCAGATGGTCAAATAACAGCTATCAGATTGACTCACTTTGAACTCCTTAAAACTTATGTTACACACTTTGGGTCCAAGTTCCCTTTCCACAGCATCATCTTAATACCTAAAGGACAGTGACAGCCTGGAAAATTGCATATTCTTTTCTTTTAGAATTTGCTTCCAAGCTTTCTTATCTTTGCTTTGCTGCATATTTTTAAGGTGTTATTTTTTTGTTAAGCATCAGTGCTATCTTAAGTATGACTGGCACATCTTTTATGTGGCTCTGTAGCATCACGGATGATACTTTTTGGAGCTGACACTCTTCTTATTAAAAGTGCCATTTTATTTTCTTTTTATTTTTGTCTGTAGATACAGATTGCCGAAAGAAAGGAATTTTCTTTTTCCTTTTTTTTCAGTTAAACTACTGCTACCTAATACCTAATTTTTATTGATGATAGCACATGCAAAAATGGACGTTAATGCTCTGCTAGCTCCTCCTGGCTGTGGTGATTGGAGTTGGGCCTGTTAATTAGTTACCCACACTCACAGAGGATTTGATTAGATACTTAATTCTCTTTGGCAACTCTTAGAGCCTGTCATAAAATGTTTTTTGAAAGAAAGTGTGCTCTTTTCACATAATTTCATTAAGAACTTTTTCTCAGGCCTTGGAATACATTGGCAATCTCAAATAAAGTTCAAAGAACACCATTCTGATGGAGCAGGTCACTTTTCTAATTTTAACCTAAGATCTTTATAAACTCCACGTGACAGACTTTTCAGCCATAAAATGTTACCCATTGTCTGTGTTCTATGAATAAAAAGCACAAGTGGGAATGCTACAGTTCACATTTGTGAGCTGCTGAGTCTTGAGTTTTTATTTTTAAATGGACCCTCAGGAGCCAAAAAAAAGTTAAGTTAATCATACTCTCAGTTCCTAGCTCATTATTATCATCCATTCCTGCAAGTCTTGTTTCATTTCCTTCTTCTTACCCAGTACTCCTATTTCCCAGCAACCCCCATTCACTCTAATGACTTTGATGAATGTCCTTAAATATGTGTGCACCTTGTACAATATGCAGCATTGTGAAGTTTCCATGTTTTCAAGGATAATAAGCTTTCCAGTGTCAATAACCTTGTTTACTATTACTTGAACAAACTGCAGCTTTAGCTAATGCATAAAATATGTAAATGAAGGAGCCATAGGATGTTAGGGAAAATATTCAAATCCAGCCAACTAGGAAGTGATTTCTTGTTTGTGAGGTATTTAGACCGTGCTAGGTGGCCTTTATTAAACAGTGACTATAGGCCGGGCATAGTATCTCACGCCTGCAATCCCAGCACTTTGGGAGCCTGAGGTGAGAGGATCACTTGAAGACAGGAGTTCTTGACCAGCCTGGCCAACATTGTGAAACCCTGTCTCTACTAAAAAATACAAAAAGTAGCCAGATGTGGTGGCACATGTCTGTAGTCCCAGCTACTTGGAAGGCTGAGGCACGAGAATCACTTGAACCTGGGAGACAGAGGTTGCAGTGAGATCTCGCCACTGCACTCCAGCCTGAGTGACAGAACAAGACTCTGTCTAAAAAAAAAAAAAAAAAAAAGCCCAGTGACTATTACCCATTCACCCATTCATAGAACTAAGGTTTTTACCTTAGCTTTATCAAAAAAAAAAAAAAAAAAAAAAAAAAAAGCAAGATGGTGTTCTTATTCCCATTTTCTAAATTAAAAAAAAAATTCTAAGAAAGGTAAAGTGACCAGCCAAATGGCACACACCTAAATTTTGGTTCTGGGATTAAATCTACATGTGTAGTCTTCTCTCTCAAAAATGGAATGTTTCTTGTCTTTGGAAACTCCAAGGACAAAAAGATGTCTTAAAGAGATTGGGAAAGATTTGCTTGAGGAAGGATCATATGGCCTTGGCTTTGAAGAATAGATCTAATTTGGTCAGACTGGTAGGAGAAAGGCTCATTGTAAGGAAGCAGGCGGGGGTATATTCAACAGGAAACAGTTTTCCTTGGCTGAGCTGCAGAGATGACCATTAGAAAGTGGGAAAGGCAGACTGAACCTAAATCATTAGGCATGATCTATTAGGCTGGGAAGTTTGGTTCTGTCTAAAAAATACAGAATTTTATCTTGTAGGATAGGTTAGGATAGTGGGTGGGGTTGGGAGTAAATTTATTCCTCAGGTGTACGTATAGAAGTTTAAGCTATGACATACAATGACTAACCAGCTATATTACCATTGAAGCTTACATATTCCTATCTGGTTTCAAATTTTACACAACCAAGGTGAAAAAGATAAGACCAAGAACCAAAATAATCAGAAGAGAAAATATTAAAAATGATAGTTACTGAGGTCTTGTTAGAAGCCAAGCTTAATGCTTTCCATGTATTGTCTCAAGTAATCTTCATAATAATTCTAAATGGTAGTACTGTTTTTTTTTCCATTTTGCAGGTTTAGAAAACGAGACATAAAAGTAAGATGGCTGACTCAGAGTCAAAAAGCTAGTTCATGGCCACCGGCCATGAGAATCAGTGTGTGTCTGATTCTCAACCATTAAACTCTATTGTCTCCAATAAGTAAATGGTTAAATGTGTGATAAGAGCCAACTAGTTTAAACTCAAGGCAGTGTTGGGAATATTTTATCTGATTTCAACTGAGAAAATAGAAAGTGTACAAGTGCTCTCCAAGGAAACCAGGCCATAGGTTTATAGAATGAAATCATAACTTTGAAGGATGTACTTCATCCTCTCCAAGTACTTAGGCAGATAGACCTGTACATTTTAATACAGTCATGTGGCTGCAAATGTCCTCCAGGGGGCCATTTAGCTATCTCCTTTTTGCACCTAAAGGTTTTGTAAAGATTTGAAACGCACTGGTAATGAGGTTTATGTCAGAGGCAAGGGGTTGGTGGGGGGGTGTCAAAGCTTTAGTATTATGTAGGTTCAACTGTTACAAGGGAGATGGTCCCAGCTGAATTTTTTAAGCAAGGGGAAATAAATCTCTTCAAACAAAGGGACTGCTTTTTCTTTCATTCAACCTGATTTCTCTGCCTCTGGGCTAGTCTTTCATTTTACGTAGTCACAGAGAACAGACTCATTGACCCTTCCTCAGGTCCCAAACCAGCTAGTCATGACCAGAATTTGGTGATCTGTAATCCAGGTAGAAGAGATGTGAGGATTTTGTTTACGTGTACACTGGTAGCTCATAGAAACCTGTGTATTCTAAAGGAGAAATTCCTGGCCCAGTAACTGGAATTCCTAAGTTCTCAACACAAACCTACGAACATTTCTATGTGGATGCTTGATGAAGGATATTTATACCATTTCTACTTTCTTAAACTGTAAAAATTAGACATTTTAGCTTTATACAGTTTGTGTAGTCCTATTTATAAATCACATTATAGTAAATAAGAATATTTTTTCAGTTTACAAAAATAGCTTAATATTTATAGAAGTCCTACGGTGATTCTTTTCACTCTCTGAATTAGTTAATTTTACGTATCAAGATTTCTTAATGAGGGGCCTGTATTGCCCCATACCTATTTCATAGAAATATTGTAAGGACTCAAGGTTTAGAAACCCCTAATTTTCTGAGATTGATATGAAAATATAGGATAATTATAAATAATAAGTATCAGCATTAAGTGCTTTAGTAATTTAGTTATAATTTAGTAATTTAGTTATAAATTAGACATTTTAACAAATTGTGTTTACTGGGGAGAGAAGACAAATAGTTAACTAAATAGTTCCTGGATGCTGGGAACTTCATGTATCTTAACTCCTTTAATCTATACAGCACCCCCATTTACCATATCAGTGCACATGAATGAAATGCCTACTACATTCTGGAAGTTGCGCTTGATATTGGTGTTACGGTGGTGAACGAGACAGATACAGCCTCCAAACTCAGAAAGCTAAAGAACCAGAGAAAATTAAAAGAAGTCCCAATTGTCATATGTAAAGGTGCACAAAGGGTTGGAAGGGGACAGGGGACCTTACATATTAACATTTCATTCTGAGCCCCTGAACACATTGAGCTTAGAATTCACATGCATAAAAGGTGGGCAGGCTTTTATGGTTAATAAATATGACCATGTATGGCTGTCCAAAGCCCTTGGTTTCTTTCCTGTCATATTATCCTGCCTCCTTACAATAATTGATCATTTCCCAGAAGATAACTTTCCATTTTAAGCATTGAAACAAGTATGCCTTGAATAAGCAAGTGTTCACATTAGCGCTTACGTTTGTATTCTACGATGGAGAATGAACTCATGGTCTTTCCTATTTCCATCTTCCCTGATGATGATTCTGTGGCTACAGTTGCCTAGACACTGCCTTCAAGGATATTTGAGTGAAGATGACAGCAATTAAAAGGAGTAATGGTTTTCAAAAGCAGTTGTTCTAACAAGCTGCTGCCCAGGTTAGGTGAGCATGTTAACATCAACTTCTTTGTCAACCTTCAAGGCACTGTCATAATGAGTTGATCTCTTATTATTATTATTATTTTAATGAAAATGAGACATAACAGAGTTTGGGGTTCTTTTCCCCCCCAAATACAGTACTATGTTTCTGAAGCCCATGAGATTACTTGAGCATTGGAGTATTTCAATTACCCTTGCAGTGCACTAAGGAGCAGCGACGTTAATATCTTGTTAATTCCATAACAATCATTGTTCCTTACTTGGTATCCAACATAGCTGCACAAGCATTCTGCCTAATAATAAGACTGCTTTCTTCCCCTAAATGATTTATAATGCACAGGAAAATCACTCATTATGGACTCCACCTCACTGACTCTGCTTTTAGCACCAGACACATAGTGTGGCTTGGTCAGAGAAACCCAGGGCTTAATTATAATTCCAAAGGTGTTGTATCCTGAATAATAATTCTATGTCATTAACAAATGGAAATCCCAGGCAATTATTTGAGTAGGTGAATAACATCAAGGGTAGATGTTATAACCAACTTTTATTATTCCTGAAGAAGAAATGTCACTCGGAATTTGGCTTCTATCATTGGTCTTAATTACCATTTACAATATAGGGCTTAGAGAACAATTACCTAAATCACACATGCTCATAAAGAATCATGGGAAGAGGAAGAAGAGGTGGTCAAGGCAAATCAAGTCATCCTGTTTATTGGACTCCTTCATTTGTTGGCTCAGAACATATTTACCAAACACTTGCTCTATGCCAGGTTCAGTGTTAGGACCTGCAGACAAGAAGAGAACAAAGTAAGTGGTAGAGAAAGGAAAGAACACTTAAACTTCAGCAGGCACCATGGACCAACGGTCAATTCTCAGTTCTGCCTATAGGATGCCCCATTTTAGGCCAGCTTCCCATTTATTGCAATTACTCATTGGGGCAAATGAATAACACAAATACATCTGGTTTTTCATAGGTGAAGATGATTTCTGAATATAGATTTGGAGGTTATTGGCATATGAGTAGGAGCATGCTTGGAAAATTATTTTCCTGAGGACATGTAATTTGGAAACATTGAAAACTTTTTGAAATGAAGGTTGTAATGTTTGAGATATGTTTCTGCTTTAACATATCCAAAATGATTTCTAAAGTCCATGTAAAAGGAAGATTTTAATGTAAAATTGCCTATTATTAGATTATTAAAATTATTGAATATGGAAGAAATATGAAGAAGAATGGTGACTGATGTGGTTTGTCTGTGTCCCCACCCAAATCTCATCTTGAATTGTAGTTCTCATAATCCCCAAGTGTCATAGGAGGGACCCAGTGGGAGATAATGGAATCATAGGGGCAGTTTCCACATGCTGCTGTTCTCGTGATAGTGAGTGAGTTCTCACAAGATCTGATGATTTTATAAAGGGCTTTTCCCCCTTTGCTTGGCAGTTCTCTCTCCTGCTGCCATATGAAAATGGATATGTTTGCTTCCCCTTCTGCCATTATTTTAAGTTTCCTGAGGTCTCCCCAGCCGTACAGAACTATGAATCAATTAAACCTCATTCCTTTATAAATTACCCAGTCTCGGGAAGTTCTTTATAGCAGCATGAGAATGGACTAATACAGAGACGATCAGGAGAGTCTTAGATATTGACAGATCTTCACTTTTGCCAATCCCAAATCATTTCATGTGAACATATGGCGTTTCTCCTTCTCTTTTTCTATTTGCCCTGCATTATTCTTTTCTTGTTTCTCATGTCTTGTGTCCCTGTTCAGGAAAACTCATACTTTCTCTTTTAGTCAAGGTTTCTATTGCTTTTTGAAGTTTATTCTCCCTTCTTTAGCTATAGCCACCTTTCTTGAACTAGTTTAAGTTCCTGCCTTGATTTCCTTCAGTGATGAGAAAATTTCCTGTCTCTAAGGGAGTTCAACAGAGTCAGGCTCCCATATGTTGTTCTAGCAGAAAGAGAAACCTACTATATGCCAAAGAAACACTTCCTGTGCTTTACTTCTGCTTCAGAGAGTGTCTCTGGGCATAAGCAGGCTCCTCGACTAAACCTCCAGTAAGAAGTGTCCATCAGCATCACAGCCATAACTCAAATCTAGATATTCAAATTCCTGGCCTGTATATACATTATGTATGTGT
Organism: Homo sapiens; assembly: GCF_000001405.40. NCBI lineage: Eukaryota > Metazoa > Chordata > Mammalia > Primates > Hominidae > Homo > Homo sapiens. The sequence goes on from NC_000013.11 coordinate 94,119,002, forward strand.
GTGTGTGTGTGTGTGTGTGTGTGTACACTTGCATATATGTATGTGTATATATATATACATTTAAAATTACAATATATGTGTGTGCATATATGTATAAAATCAGAATTCTTGTTAATATCCTCATATATTCACTCATTTATTCAATAATATTACTGAGCACCTACTATATGCAAGCCACTATTCCAGGTCGTTGGTATCTAATGCACAAAACAAAGCCTGAGCTGTGTTGGAGCTTACATTCTGGAGAAAAAAAAGGGACAACAATGAAGTAAAAAGTAAAAGATGCAGTATGTCAGTTGGTGATAAGTGCTCTGAAGAAAAATAAAGCAGAGAAGGGAGCCTAGGAGAGCCAAAGGAGGGGTAGGGGATGTTTGCTCCTTTAAATGGCGTGGTCAGGGAAAGCTTCACTGACAAGGTGACCTTTGAGCAGACAACTGAAGGCGGTGAAGGAGCAATAGGGCAGGGGTTGTGGGGGAATAGCATTACAGGCAGGAGAAACAGCAGGTGCAAAGCCTGGAGACAGGACTGTATTTGGCTTTGTCCAGACCCAGGTAAGAATCGTTTCTCCAAATTACACAACTTGGCTGAGGGCAGTGGGCAGGAGAAGCACCATACACAGAAAACACTGTGACCAGTGCCCCCTGGAGTTGTGCAATGAGTCTGCCCTTGCAAGGACACCAGTGTGGCTTGAGTAGAGGGAAGCGAGCCAGATCTCAGAGTGCCTTGTAGACCTGTGTAAGGACTTTGTTTTACTCAGCAGTATGCTAGTAAATGTTTAACAATCAGCTCTTGGGGGAATGAAGGGGAAGAGATTTGACTTTGATTTGTAGCATTTGTCAATTGCTATAGTGGAAACAGTCACACCAGGGCTGAGACTAAGCAGGACGTTGCTGAATGTGGAGCTGGGAAGGGAAGTGCAGCGGTACCAACGCTCATATAGTATTTCTTACATATAGATAAAATAGATGTAAATAGCTGCAAGAGCATAGATGATATAGTAAAGCGTAATAGGAAGGGATGAGTTTTGAGAATGAGTTACCTATGTTTTAAATATAATGTATATAATTATATGTTTATGTAATTTAATTTTTAAGAATGGCTGCGTTTCTCAAGCTTGCAAAATTTGTCAGCTCTCTTGAGCTGGTATGAGCTGGCTTCAGCACACCACTGGATTTCCTCGGAGTGAGGGCTCATAAGCAGTAGACATACACCACCAGACTGTAGAAGGATCGCAGTGCTGTTCTGAAAACAGGTGATAGGTGGTCAAAGGCAGGAGCAGGGAGACCAGTGAGGAGGTTTTCCAAAACCTTTAGGATTCAGCAGAAAACATTTGGACAAACCCTGCACCTGCCCATGGTTTCCCTCCCAAGTAGCTTAAGAGCATGAGAGTATGATCCTGGCCTTAGTCACTTACCTTAATTCCTCTATTCTTAAAGGCCAGGTTTCTTCCGGTTAATGTTTCTGAAATCAGGATTAAGTTGGGATGCATCTAGAAACTGATCATGTACACTTAATACATATGGTTTCTTTTTTTTTTTTCCCCTGAAAAGCTGGTATGAAATCAATGTGGGTTTAGCAACTGATAGCATTTTACAACTGAGAAAACATTCTGTTTTGCTTTGTGAACCACAGAATTGATCGTAGTATTGTTTGTGCCCCCACAATTGAATACAACTGATAAAGGCTTTGGAATATAAATATAGACTTTATAAATAAAGCCTGAGGAAATTGAGAGTGTTTTAGTAGGAAAGACAAACACTAAGATGTGGGGAAAGGTGTAGGAGGAATCAATGAATCAGGTGTTCAGGAGAGCCAGTGAGTTCTTCTCTGATTAAATAAGATAGACAGCCATCTAGGGATGTGATTTAAGGAGTGCTACCTCCCTTTCCCAACAGCCGGCAAAGACAGATTATATTCCCACTAGTTCAGTTCTCTGGGCTTCAAGCATTGTCTCTGGGTGATCTCTGTTAAAATGTCTGAGAGTGACCCAGGAGGCAAGGCACATTCACAGAGGGACCATTAAAAAGATTAATGGGAGGGAAACACCCAAAGGAAATGAGGCTAGAAAATGTTAATGGAGAATCAACGCTGGGTACAGATCTAGTGCAGAGTCTTTCAGAGCCTAGTCATGACTAAACCTCTTTCAACAGGTCCCTTTGACTTCAGCAAGCTTACACCACCATGTGCTGTTGGGGTACCATACCTCTGCCACACCACTTTCTTCCATTGTAATGACTGCTTATCTTCATTCTTGTGTTCCCAGAGTGGGCCCTGTAGAAGCACAGGAATAAAGACGGTTGGCATTAGTTTTACACAAAACCCACAGATTAATTCTACCTTTATTGTTTTCTCTCTAGCCAAGGATAATTACTTTTGTATATTATCCTATCGCACTTTGCAGTTTTTATAATGTCACATCCAAATCTCAGTTTATTAAATAACTCGAAACACAAAAGTCATTCAATAAAAATGTTTTTCAAGCAGTAATTATCCCTTAGGAAGAAAAGTTTCATTTCTATAACTGGTAAAAATAATTTAACGTGAATATAATGGACATTGGATGATTATCATCTTTGAAATTAGGATACACGGCAATACTTAACGATATATTATCTGTTAAGCGTTATCAATTTAGATGAGGGCTGGAAGCCAACATGATTGTGAACCCAAATAAAACATAGACACAGAGATATTTGTAACTATCCAGTTATTAGGTTAGTCATCCAGCTGATTTTTTTAAAGATTATCATCAGTACTTCCTCTTAATCTTAAAATAGAGCTGTACATTGCACCTCTCCAGGGTCTGTGGATTTCTATTGAATCAGCATTGTTCATGTTCAAGATTCTTCACACTCAGTAATACAGGAGTCCTTGGGCTACTGTGCTCCTCCTACCCAACCACTCATTCCATGCTTCAGCACAACTGTTCTGATATGAGTCATATCTTTATCTACTAGGATTCAGCATAAGATTTCATTTGGAAAAAAGAGTCTTGGTGCTACCGTTAAACAATTTTAAAACTACTGGTCTAGTTTATGGGGCACCCTAAAAGATAGACTATGTCTGAATGGAATAGTGCTTGGAGGGGTAAGAAATAATGTGAAAGGTCCTTCTTGCAGGATTATTATATATAAATAAAAAAAAGTTTTCTATTTGTAAGAGGTATAAAAATGAAAGCCACAATTTTTTTTAAAATATAGAGAATACACCTGATTTTTTGGAAACTACTGTGTGCCATGTTTTGTGTTGGGCACTTTGCAGGCTTTTCTCATTTAATCCTCTATGAAGTCTCATTTGACTTCATTTTATGGAGCAGGAAAATTAGATACTCAGATTGTTCTGCCTGCATCTAAAGTCAGGTCCAGTCTGACTGCGTTTCAAACTCTTGGAACCTCTGACATTTACTCAATATTTTAAAGTGTGTATTATAAATAACTGTCTCCCTGAGGTGTGTTAGGTTTGGCTTTGCCCAAAGTTAGTAATTAGGTTGGATGACCAGTCCTGCAACTCCAGCCTGTTGGCCAACTTTCCTATTTGATCTGAGACTCGTTACAGGGCAGTTTTGGCATGGGTAAGAAAGGAGATGAGAAATAGATGAAACCACACTGCAGGATTAAACCTGAAATGTTATTTGGTGGAAAAAGTATTCCCAGGCTAAACTCTAGTTCTTTCATTCACTACTCTGCACACGTCATAAATCAGCCAGAAGAGAGCTATTTCCATATTTTAAATTGCTGCAAAAATCTCTCCAACTTCCTCATTTTGCAGATAAAGCTTCAACATTATATGAAGCAGTGTATGTTGAATTTTAATGCTTACTTCAGAAATCATACTTACTCACTTTGTGTGTTTTTGACGCTCTTCTTACATGCAACCATGACCTAATTTGTTTGCAGAACATGTTTACTTCTGTAGTGGTTTATTATTAAAATGTTTCTAAGCTTCTGTCTTAGCTATTTAGAAAGCTAAAGAAAGAATCCCTGTTGCCTTTGAATAATGTATTGGCCCTTGCTAATATCTTACTGAAATAGCTCAAACCCAGTTTAAAAAATCATTTCATAATATTTTAGCCATTCTCATATATGAGTTATATTATAAATGTCATAAATCTTTTCAAAATGTTAAAACTTAAAAAAACTGTGAGACATAGACAAAATACTATTAGTAAATATTTAAGTATCAATATTTGAAAACGTTACAGAAATATGCTTTAAAAATATCTACAATGACAAAAATATATGAGCTAGAAAATCCTTAAATTAAGTCTGAGCTATAAAATGTAGAGCCATATTAAATGTCACTTTGCATTCAATTTGAAGGAAAAAATTAAGAAACCAAAACACTTTGTTAAATACAAACACTTCCCCAAAAAATGTTTAACTCTTAATCATGTTAATATATATTTTAATCCTATTATGAAACAGGTATATCAAACATATATACTTAAGTTACTGGATATGTAAACTTAATTCATATACCTTGTTCTTTAATAGTCATCTCTTGTTGCATAAGGCATCTTATATCTCTCTCTATTCCTAGTCTTGGTTACTAAGATATGATGGTATAAATATCATCATGAGATAACATCTTATTTATCATTTTTCAGAAACCAAGAGTTAAAAACTTCCCAAAATGCCACAAATCTTTGAGCTCTTAAGCAACTGTGTGTGTGTTTGTATGCATGCACGCATATGTTTGTATTTGAAAAGGGAGTGGGGGAGGGGGTAAGATAGTTATAATGCATGTTGTGATTTATTGGATACTAATCTTGGGAACACAAGATTACATTTCAAAGGTCAGCTTTGCAGTCATGAAAAACAAAGATTCTGCATGTTTGATGCTAATGAGCCCTGTTTATCCAGTGTGTGAAGTAAGACAAATATTAGATTAAATCTAAATCACAGAATGTTCTTATTATAGATAGAAGCCTTTCTGGGAGCAGATGTGCTAATACTAAATAGAACACTGCTATAAAATGTTTTCCTGAATTACTGAAGTAAATAAGATACACTAATGAAAATGGGGAGGGGGAATCATTTATAAAATTAAAATCTTGTAAAAGCACAATTAGAAGAGTCTACTACCTTTAAAAATGTGACTTTATAGCCCCGTATATTCCTTTGAAAAATAAAGTCCTTCCTAAAACCATGATTTCCAAGTCCATGGGTTTATTTAGGTATTCTTTAAGCACTTCATTTTTACAACATGACTCTTGATTGACATCCCATTACTTACATGCCATTCAAATTGTTCTCAGTTTCCCATTTCCTACTTTTTCCTTTCAATTTTGTGAATTGTGTGCATCTTGGTCATTGGGCTCATTTATTCATTCAACAAATGTTTCCAAAAAGCCCATCATGCACTAAGTCTAAGCTCAGCTTGGCACCTGTGATGCAAAGATAATCAAGTCATGATTCCTGCCTTCAGTGAACTCATCATATGAAAACAAAGAAAGAAGTGATGAGTCCATGTGGACAAATCAGAGAAGACTTTATGGTCTTGGAGAACAGGACTTTCTAGGCAGTAAAGGGGGTGAAAAAGCACACACTGGGGGATAGAGGAGAGGTAAACATTGACATTTGGGAGGAGGTATAGAGTAAAAGGGGGAAACGGGTCAAGAGAAGGCTGGCGAGGCAGAAAGGAGGTACACTGGGAATGCCCTCTCGCTCACATTCAAGAGTTTGAACCTCATTTCACAAGGATCTCAGAGTCCCTGAAAGGTTTTTAAGAATTCAATTTGTAGAGACAGAGATTGAAAGCAAGGACACAAGTCAGAATTTCTAACTGTCCCTTTAAAGATAATATGAATAATATAAAGACACAACTTGTCTTCTTCCAAAGCCTATCATTTTTCCATTTCTCCCCAAATGGAATGGCAAGAAGGAACCCTAGAGGTGGAACTAACTCATCAGGAGAAACTGTACTTTGCCAGGCAATTTGTGTGATAAACTGAAAAACAAGCAAGCAAACAAATAAACAGAAAAGGTAAAAAATAATTTTTTTTTACCAAGCCATTCATAAATTAGGAAAGAATCTCTCCTAACAGTATTTTCTGTATTTTTTCACTTAACCTTAAATACAAGAGTGGAGCTAAGAGCCATCCATGTGTCTCTGATAAGTAAATTACTTTTACAAGACACTGTATCTGTGCTCCTTCTATATGTGTGTACCATTTTTTCTATGTAAAAGATAGTTATGTAAATTTCTATTTTATGAACCAATAATAGCAATGTATAAACAAGACAGGTGTATTTTATGACAATGTCTTGTATGAAACATATCATTTGTATCTCAAAAAAAGGAACCTGCCTTAACAGAAATTCCTTCTCTACAATCTAGATGCTTTAAGTATCAGAAATAGCTCGTCTTATGATCCTATGAAAGGTGCCATGTGCATTTTTTTTCCCAGACTGAGGTTTCTATCTATATCATGATATGTTCAGTTCAGTGAGAAGCATTCAATTTATCACCAAATACTACTGCTTTTAGGGAAAAAGGCTTTTAAAAATATAGTTATTCATTTTGAAAAACTCTCTCTTTCTGAAAACCACTAGAAAGTCAAATAATCTTATCTTCCTGATCGTGTTCACAGCCTTGGAAATCCTGGGAGCAAACCACCCAGGAGAGACCTGCACTGCTGGCCCAGCCAGGCTGATTCTGAACACTGACTCATGTTATGTCTCTCAGGTGTTGTCAAATTTTAAAGGCCAATTTCTTGCCTTTTTTTTTTTTTAAATACAAAATAGTTAAATGAAGTCAGCAAAGAAATGAGCGTGGAGCACTGCTGTGTACCCACCAATCCTTAAAAGTTACATTATAAACTCCAGACCTTTCATACACATAATAAGGTTCATTAAATACTTGTTGAAAAATATGCATTTTATGAAATAAGTAACTAAAAAACCATTTCTGTGCAATATTATATCTTACACAATGAATATCAGTAACATCTCATGTAAATATATCTCCATGTAAATGAATATATACATTATTTTATGTGTATGGAAAATTTTAAACAATTAAAGAAAAATATAAGGAGGGCATCATGATAACAACCAAGGCGAGATTAAGACTACTCAAATAAAGCAATACCAACTGGGCACCAGTGGCTCATGCCTGTAATCCCAACACTTTGGGAGAGGCAGAGGCAGGAGGATCACTTTGAGGCAAGAGTTGGAGCCCAGCCTGGGCAACATAGCAAGATCCCATCTCTACAAAAAAAAAATTGAAAATTAGTTGGGTGCAGTGGCACTTGCCTGTATTCCCAACTATTCAGGAGGCTGAGGTGGGAGAATCACTTGAGCTTAGGAGTTTGAGGCTGCAGTGAGCTCTGATCATGCAACTGTACTCCAGCCTGAGTGACAGAGCAAGACCCTGCCACAAAAATATAAAAATAAAGCAATACTAATATACTTTTATCATGCCTGAGGCCGATTTCAAATTTATACTTAACAGTACAAGCCTTTGTAAAAAAGTGAATATGAAAGTGGCTTTTAGTGACTTTCTACCAGGAAAAAGTTGAACTGCCAATTTGTTTTCAAAGAGTTGAGGTTCTCTAAAATTAATTTCTGGTTTATCAAATTATTTCCATGCATCCTAGGCATTTAATGTCATCTTCTCATCAATTAATAGAAGGGTAAAAATAGGAGGAGAAATAAGTAACAGGGGTAATAGGAGGAGTACAAAAAAATCAAATATTATTACCTGTTTGCTTCATTTCTTCCTTAATGTTTTTGGACCTGTACACTTTTTCTGTGTATATTGATAACATAAGAAGTTGGCTGAGCTTATTTCTCTCTTGAGGTAATAGTATTCACAGTTAAATCCTTATTTTTCTAAGGAAAGTTGTGTTGTTCTGAAAATTGCCTTCAGGCAGCCATTAGCTAGGGACTAAATATCTATTTACAGTATTTTATAGAAATGTTTTTGGTATATAGATTAAAAGTGAAAATCTCTAATATTTTATTCACTTTTGATTTTTTTAAATCCTAAAATTATATTATCTCTTAAGAAAAATATATATGTACTAGTCATTTTTCAATATGGTAACTTTTTTTCCTACTCTAAATCTGGGCCTAGGATGTCACAACTGAACTGAACATTGAAAATTCAGAAACTCCAATATGTATCATTCCATAATCACCCTGTATTGTTCACTCTTAAGAGTGGTTTGAACCTATGAAGGAGAGTTTGCATCCATGTACATGGTTGATAGAGTTTGGATATTTGTCCCTGCCCAAATCTCATGTTGAATTGTAATCCCCAATGCTGGAGGTGGGGCTTGTTGGGAGGTGTTTGGATCATGGGGACAGATCCCTCATGGCTTGGTGCTGGTCTTGTGATAGTGAGTTTTTGTGAGACCTGGTCATTTGAAAGCACCTCCCCTCCCACTCTTTCTCTTGCTCCTACTTTCGCCATGTGATGTGCCAGCTCCGCCTTTGCCTTCCACTGTGATTGGAAGCTTCCTGAGGCCTCCCCAGAGGCAGATGTCACTATGCTTCCTGTAAAGCCTGCAGAACTGTGAGCCAATCAAACCTCTTTTCTTTATAAATTACCCACTCTCAGGTGTTTCTTTACAACAATGCAAGAACTACCTAATACAGTGGTAAAAATCCCAAAGCCAAGATTCTTGTACATCTGGACCAGCCCTGGTCATTGCCAGTTACAAATGGGCAGATAATATTTTGCTAAATTATTGCTATTTCAATTGTAAAAGCAAGAAGAGTGCCAGGGAACTGCTAGTCAGATGGCCACATGTGGATGAGGTTGCCACAGGTGACTGGTTTAGTGTTACCAGGTCAGAAAATTGGTGTCATTTTTAAATTCGTTTTTAGAGTAAGGTGGAGGAATAATCATTTCTAGCTCCTGAATGTTCCTATCTGCTATCCAAGGCATATCAAGGTGTCTAGAAAGCCAAATTAGGAATTAGAAGGTGCTTAATAAGGAAAGGCTTAAGCAAAGGGAGTTAGATTGCCTTGTAGACAATGTTATACAGTCCACAGTCATGATTATTTCTGCTCCCCTACAGGGAATAGTAATCTATTTTATATCATGATGTATTCTTTCCAACACTTATTAATCAGCACTTAATTCTCAAATATTAGAATTTATCTTCTCTTAGATTTTAAAATCAGTGTGTTTATTTAGAAGGAAACACTTTAGACTTTTGATGAAAATTTAGGAAAGATTTATTTTACCAGTAACACTCATCATCTTTTGGGTGGGTCATTAACTAACTTAGATGATGGTCTGTAAAGTAGGAAAATTTTTATAATGACTCCACAGACAGCTAAGTAAATAATGATCACTTGCAAGCTGATTTGGTTGTAGTTGTGTACTTTTTAATAGAGAGCACAATAGATCACTGTATCTGTCAGGATAAGCTAGTTGTATTGTGATAATAGACAACTTCAAAATCTCAGTGGCTTGAAACAATGCAGTTTCTTTTCTTTCTAGCATTACATGCCTAATATGAGTCAGGTGGGGACGCTACACTTGTGTCCTCACTTTGGATCCTAGGTGACATAGCAGTTGCTGTGTGGAATTTTACCAGTCATTCTGACTGCAGGAAAGACAGAGCTCTGGCTGGTCTTAACGGGCAATTAAATGCTCTGGCTTGGAAGTGACAGAGTGTTACAACTCGCTGGCCAGGACAATTTACTTGGCCCTATCTAACCACAAGAGAGCCAGAAATTGCAATGCTGCCATGTGACCAGAAATGAAGAGAACTGGAAAGATCTGGCAAACAGCATTGTGAGCCTCCTAATCATTTGTGTGCATTTGCCATCACCCCTTATGTTAGCATATCTTTATTCAGAAGGTCGGAGAATCACAAATGTGTCAAACAATGTCAGTTACTACCATGATCATTTATTTTAGATCCCATTCTTCCTCCATAACTACTTTTTTCCACACCCACGTTACTCAAATACAAAAACCAGTATCTCTAAGCATTTTTCTGAAATTCACCTTAACTTCTTTGAACCTCAATTTGTTTCAGTAACAACAACAAAAAAGGCTCAGACTACAGTGTCTCTGATAAATTTTAAAATTTTATGATTACATTGTGAAGTTATTAAATTGTGGCATTTATAGTATTCAGTTATGTAGGTATTTATAATGTGTGTTTAGCACATTTTAAAAACATGCTGTAGTTACTCAGTATTTAGAACAAACAATATAAATTGAAATAATGAGAAATCTCAGGGTTATCCTAAACCACCACTTGAATGGAAACAGTAATGGACAAACCATAAGCTGTGCTGGACAACTACTGCCTGCTCTCAGATCCCTTCCTCTCCTTTCCTCTACTCGCCTCTCTATAAGCAGGGAATTACATTTCCCAGGGTCCCTTGTTCTTTAGCTTCTGGGTCAGTTAAGCCAATCAAAGGGACTTATGGAAGACCTGTCCCAAGCAGGAGAGAAGCTGGAATATTTTTTCCTCCTCACTCCATTTCCTTTCCAAGTCTCCAGCAGTAACAGCAGCAGTAGCAGCAGTAACAACTGTGTCTACCCTGTGGTTCTGCCTCCCACTCTTCTGTGACCCAATCCCCCACCAGAGACTTTGGCTTGTGTTTTTGGGTAATAGCTCCTCCTGTTATCCCATAAGCCCTAGCAGAGCGAGTGGCTTCCTTTGGTAATGTCTGGGTCATCGTTCTAACTTCTGTTTGGTTTCTCAACTCTTCTGTCCCCTGTGTAACTATTTCCCTGTATTAAATACTTTCTGTTTGAAAACCACTCTGAACCTGGAGTGGTTTCTGGTTTTCTGGCTAGATCTTGACTAATAGAATAGCCCACTATGAAACTGAAAGATTCCTTGAAAGGTTATGTTGACTCAAAGGCCACATAAGCAATTTTCTTTTTAAAATGAATGAGGTCAGTAGGATAAATGGAAAGTATAATGAACCAGGCAGGGTCTGTATGTTACACAGAAGATCATATTACACAAATATGTTTATATTCATACCATTTTGCAGATTGTTTAAAGTGTAAGATATACCTTTTTTCCATGTAAATATGAAAGTTCTGTTTCGTGATGGAATCATATTCATTGCATTGATGGAGCAAGATATATTTAATGCTCTCATACTGATTAATGTTTAGGATCTGTTGGACTTTTGAGTACTATAAATAAAACTCAGATGAACACACATGCAATATTTGAAGGATTTAAAGTTTATTTTTTTCTTTTTTCAACAGAAGGTACTTCTAACCATTTTACTATCCAAATTAACTTTTTCTGTATCAAAACTAACCCTGTCCACCAGGCCTCCTAGCTTTTTTATTTTATCTTAGCTTCCTAAGTCAGTCAGGCAATTGATAGGATCCAAAAGGAACAGTTGTTATATTTTATACTCTTAAGTCTCTACAGTGAAGCAAAGGGAAATAAATCATAATTCAGAAAGAAAAGTACAAGAGTAAGTAAGTGTTAATACCATAGCACTGTGTTAGAACAAAAAATGTATTTAGTTTGCTTAGTAAATGCAAAAACCCAGCCTAAACCAGCATTCTAAGTGCAGAAGAGAACTTCAAGATTGTCAAGAGGAAAGGAGAATGGGACCAAGGCTTCCAATTTTTAATTTTGAAAGTACAGTAGGAAACCTCTTTGGAAACTCTATTTAGCTACTATTAATATGAAGTCAAGTAACACCCAGGCAGCTCATCTCAGAGAATCTCAAAAGTGCAAGACTCTCTGACAGTTCTTTTTCTGCAAAGAAAATGACCATGAAGTCATTCTGCTTTATTAAGAGTCCTCATAGGAGTAGAGAAAAGTTTTAATAAGCTTATAGCTACTCTGACAGTGGAGTAGTAAATACTAAGCATTACTTCATAGGAAGAAGTAAGTATAACACCTTCACAGGCTGTTTTTATAACATATGGACTGTTAAGTACTTGAGAAATAATTTGTTTGTTTTTGCAGCTCATAGTTTAATGTAATGAAGCACTACTGAGTTGAATAACTAGACAAGAAACTCCTTAGTTATGGGGAATTATATTCTGAATTAATGAATTGCAAATTGTAAGCCAATCCAACTCCTATAAATATTATGAGGAAAGAAGTAGCAGTCTTACCTACACAGATTTTCAAGGCAAAGTTATTCTGTGATGAGAAAAAGATTTACAACATAATTAAGATTCCTAAAATATAAGTACTTAAGAAGAAACTTACCATATGTTTAAAATTATCCAGGACTGCATTTATGATCTGTGATAAGTATATATTTTCTGGAATGCCGAAAACCTCTTTAAAGGTTTTCTGTTTTATTTTTATGGCTTTATTGTGCATTTCGCCTCTAGCAATTTACAATGGGCTTTAAAAATTCAAAAAATAAAATAAATATTTTCATTCTGTGCCTGTGATAGTTATTTCACTTTACAGAGAAAATACTAACTCATTGGTAAAAATACAAATAACTTAAAATGACAGATTTAATAAACCACATTCTGGGAACATTTTGTTAACACAGCTCTATGATATGAAATACAGAGCTTTTTTCAAGTTTGAATGTCAATTAATTTGAGAAATGATGGTCTTGAGAATTGTCTTCAATTTCTGTATACGGGAGATCATTAAGAAAATATGTAATCTTAATGGGTCATTTCTTTTTTCCAAAAACTGACTTTAGAGTTCAAAAACAGAGATGACACGATAAATAGGGAAAGAGGCCGTGAGTCTGATGTTAAAATTCTTGAAACCTGGCTTCATCCCATAATAATTATATAACCCTGGCCAAGTTATGAACATTGATGATTCTGTTTCTTCAT